>NC_000020.11:8854213-9005728 GCF_000001405.40 Homo sapiens
AACTACCACCCAACAGGGTGGGACTAGATCAGGCAGACAGATCTCAGAGGGCATTTTTTTTTAGCACTGCCTAGAGCCTTGGTTATTAGGAAGCCGAGAATCTTGCAGAGGTCCCAGGCCTCAGGGGCTCTGAACAAGCAACAGAGAGTTCTGTGATTTCTTCTTCATTCTAAGTAATATTTCTTCCAATAACACCATGGTGTTTACTAAAATCAAGGCACTAATGAGTAAGGCTACCAGCCCCAACACCTCTCCTTTTTCTCCTCTTCTCCCGGGTCCAGGCCCTTCTACCTGCCACAAACTTAATCAAGATTACAGAATGGAGATGTGTTGTTTTTTGCAAGGGGAGGGGAGTAGGGAAATTAATTACGAAGCCAAGTTGCTGTTAAACTATTTATAATAAATTTCTACTGGAAAAGGACCTTTGGCTGACAATCGTTTTCTTCTGCCTCGGCATGACCAAATACAGTAAGAATTCAAAAGGAAAACTGAAAAGCGAGGAAGAGCCCACAGCTGGAGCAGTCTGTTTTCACGTCTCCACGCTGGCGAACGACAAACTCGGCAAGGAGCCTCCTGTGTATTTCCTGTCCTCGTTATCTCAGTTCTTGCTCTGAAGGGCTAAGAAGCCTTCACCGTTAGCCAAGACTCCTTCGTGCTTCAGCTTAATTTTCCTTGCATAATTTTAAATACAGATCATGTCTACAGTACAGCAATTAATGGATAGCCTAAAGACTTATTATTTCAAACTAATTGATATGTAGGAAAAGTTTAAATAACATAACGGAGAGGGGAAATTTTAAACGATGTATGCACAATGAATTTAAAATTTCTCTCTGTTGCAGATGGTAGCAAAAACATATGATTAATAGGGGGATGTGATCAAAATGTAGAACTGACTTGGAAATCTTTCTCTTTTTGATATTCTTGAGCATATGATTGGAAGGAAGAAAGATTCAGACATTTCAGAAATGGGGTAAGGGGTGCAGGGGAGAGCAGATTCTTCCCCCCCCACTCACTCCCACCAATTCTAGGGAGTTATCTCACAAGATAAAAGAACACCTGAGTATATTTTGAGTTGTGCTGTTAGGTCAGAAATAAGAAATGGGAGAAGAATGCCATTATTTCCATTCTAACTCTTTGGTCAAATCCCCCTCTTGAGATAAACTTGAGAGAGAAGTCTACAAAGACCAAGTTCACCCAGCTGCAGCAGAACCTGTTCCAAGTCACCAGCACTCCCAGACCCAGGATTCCCTCCAAATTCTAAGAAATGTGCTGTGATGAATCACCTCACTGACACACAAAAAAACAAAAATCTTTCTAATTTCCCCATTCACATTCCAGCAAGTTTAATAGGAAAGTTTAGAAAACTCATCTGAAGAAAGAATACTCTTCAAATGGGAGAGAGCAGGAACATTTTGTTCTAAGAAGGGATTGAGACCTAATGATGCCAGACAACATTTTAAATATCAGAACACAGCATTTGTAAGAAAATAGAATCTGCTTCAACCATAAACCATAAGGGGGGAAAACTACCTTTAAAATGTATTTTCTTCATATCAAATTCATGTCATAAGAATATCTGAATGACTTCTGGCCAAGTCACTTAAATTTTGTGGTCTTCAGTCTTTTTGGTCTTCTCAGATGTAAAATTTGCCACAGACTGGTTATTTTTTAGAACCCTTTCTTCCCTTCTGTTCTCCTACTTTATTTAGGTAGCTCTACACACACATTTTGAAAATTGGATGAACAACCTCCTTCTCATTGGTCCATGCAAGACCATATTACTGTATTTATAATATAATACACACCCATATACACCACAAAAACTACAATACTGGTTTCTCCCCCTCTGGTACCCTGGCCTTTCATTCTCCACCCTCTGCCCTTCAAGGTAACAATGAATCTGAAACGTGTGCATGTATATATTCCTGTTTTTTATATTTACATGGTTATAGATATACATGTGCATATATATCATGCATATGTATTCCTATAACACTTTATTTTTTTATCTTAGTTGTTTTAACTTCATAAAAATGGTATCATATGGAGTATCATATTGAAATATGATAATGTAAGTTAAAGGACCATACTGAACCTATACTGTATAAAATTTGGGGGAGCCTACAATTTTTCACTTAAAAATATGTTGCTTACTTTGGGAGGCTGAGGCTGGTGAATCACTTGAGGCCAGGAGTTCGAGACCAGCCTGGCCAACATGATAAAACCCTGTCTATACTAAAAATACAAAAATTAGCTGGGCGTGGGGGCACACGCCTGTAGTTCCCAGCTACTGGGGAGGCTGAGGCATGAGAATTGCTTCAGCCAGGGAGGTGGAGTTTACAGTGAGCCGAGATCACACCACTGCACTCCAGCCTGGGCAACAGAGCAAGACTGTGTCTCAAAAAAATAAATAAATAAAAAGAGCCAGACACAAAAAAGTATATACATTATTATTCAGTGTATATGAAGAGTTAGAAAATATGCTATCTTGGGTAGGGGACAGGATGGCTAGTGATTGGAAGGTGGCAGGTAGAGGTCTTATGGAGTGCTGGTATTGATCTGAGTGCTGGTTAAATGGGTGTGTTCACTTTGTGGAAGAAAATCCTAAGTCCATGAATTTGTTGTATCAGTTAGCTATTGCTGTATAACAAATTCCACCACAAAACTCAGGGGCCTAAAACAATAAGCATTTATTATTATCCACAAGCTGGTGAGCTGGGAAGTTCTCCTGGTCTTAGTTGTTCTCACTTATGTGTCTGGAGTCAACTGAGCATGAGGTGGACAGCTCTGCTGGTGATACTGGTTGGACCCGCTTTCATGTTTGAGGGTCACTTGGATGTAGGTTGGTCTAATATGGCCTCTGCTAGAACGACCGGATCTCTCCACTTAGTCTCTAATCTGTGAACAGACACGCCCAGGCTTGTTCACTTGCTGGTGGCAGGGTTTCAATAGCAAGAGTAGAGGCACATGTGGCCCTTTGAGAACAACTCAGCACTGCAACAGTATCACTTTTGTCATATCCTATTGACAAAACAAGTCACAAAAGAGGAGTGAAGAATGGTGGGTTTTTGAAAACTCAATCTACCACACTTCTCTTATGTGAACTTCTCTCTGTGTACTAATGAAAAAAATTTAAATAAAGTATATCTAAGTATAAGGTATCTATATTGTTAAATGTTGCTATAGTTTATTTTGACTTATTCTATTCCATGAATGTATCGCACTTATCCATTCTACTGTCAGTTTGCATTTAGTGATGTCCAGTTGATTGCTGTTTTAAGCAGATCTGCTGTGAACATGCCATCTCATATCTCCTAGTATGCAAACTCTGTACCAGAAGTTTTCTTGGTTGTATACCAAACTGTGGAATTACTGGGCCATAGGGAATATGAATCTTCCATTTTACATGATGATGCTAAATTGTCTTCTGAAGTAACTATACCACTTTACACTTTCTTCAGCAATATATGAAAGACTGTATTACCCTGACACTTGCCAATAGTTGATATTAACGTCAGACTTCCTAATATTTCCTACTAAGATGAGTATGAAATGATATCTCAATGTGGTCTAGATCTGCCTTTTTCTGATCAGTGAAGAAACTGACCATCCCTTCTATTTAGTTTGTTTTTGTTTTGCCTTTAGCCACATGTTCCTTCTTAAGCAAAATGCCTCTTTGTATCTTTTGGTAATTTTTTTCAATTGAGTGATTGGTCTTCTCATTACTTCATAACAATTCTTTATATATTCTCAATACTATTCTTTTGTCAGATGTGTTTGTTGTGAAAATATTTGCCCAGTTTATCACTTGCTTCTCACCTTATTGAGGGTGTCATTTGAATAAGTTTCATAATTTTAAGTATTTGAATTAAATTTTTATTTAATTTTTATTGTTAGCTTTACTTGAGGCCTATTTAGCCAATCCTTAACTACCCCAGGATCTGAAATAGATTAAAGGTTTAGCAGTCAAAACATAAACTAAATACTGTTTCATTTGCACTCACACACACACACCACGGCCTGCTCTTGTTACAAGCAGTTTTGGTAATGCGGCTCCTGTGTTCATTATGAAATATTTAGGTATGGACTTGTCCTCAGTAATAGCATCTAAATATCACAAACTCAGGAAATCTAAATTGTTCTGACAAGTTACAAGAATAATTTCAAAGAACATTTTCTTTTGGCAGTAGACCCTGATGTTGTGTAGTAATGGAAATGTTTAAATTCCAATGATAGGACAGGGATGGCCCTGGCTAGAATAACACAAAAATCATTCAAATCTAAATGGCATAAGGCTGCAGCAGTCCAAGTGAGATCCCTCGGGGAGTCTTGGACCTTTTCCAAGATGTAGGCTCTCTACAGTGTGAGTGTGCAGAGATTGTATGATTCCACTGGGGTCACTTCCACTGATGGGTTCAATGGACTACAGCACTGACCTTCACATGGCTTGTTTTCATAGCTTCGAGTCCTAAAGGGAGATAGGGTCATAGGAATATTTCAACAGTGTAAACAGCTCACAAGTCTTCCTTGCTCACTTACTTAGAGGTGACCAGATGAACTGAACATACCCTAATGCTAGGCTCTTAAAATAGGATCTTGTTTTAAAAAGGGGTTCAGTAGACAAAGAAGGCCATTCCCTTTTTCCCAACTCTTGTTCTTAGGGTAGTGTTCTCAAACTCTGGCAATTTGAGTGTGCAAAAAAAAAAAAAAAAAAAATTAGAGTAGTGGAAGTGGGACAGATAGTTCCTCTTTAGCCTCCTGACATACCTCTTGTTTGGAGGGATAAGATAATCTCTCAGATTGCCACCTGGGCAAGGAAACTGGGCAACACACTTCCAACTCAGAAGCCCTGAGGTTGGTGGCCTGCTACCTCTTTGCTGGTCCCTCTTCCTCAAGGTTTCCGCTTTGGAAGTAGGGACTGATTCTTAATTGGTTCATCTACTTCTAAGGCCAGCACTTAGGAAGAGTTAGCTTGTTCTTGATTGGCTCAAGAACTTTAATTAATAAAGAAGCACCGAATCCAGAATATTTATAAATAACATCTGCTCACAAATAGAACATTGTTCCAAATAGTTCAGTCTAAACACTTTCAGCTTCAAATCCACATTAAGAAAATCATAACAATTACCTTTAAACTCATGTTTCCAAAAATGTGATGTGTATGTGGATTACCTGTGGATCTTGTTAATATGCAAATTCTCATTCAGTAGATCTGGAGTGGGCCTGAAGTGATACTACTGGTCCTAGGACCACACTTTGAGTAGCAAGGCTTTCTAAAGTTCTGCTCTCCCGCACAGCTGAATTGAATAACTTTTCCTTCTAGAGATGGCATCATGGTTAGCTTTTGAAAACCTTTTGGTTTTTTTTTTAACTTCAGTCTTCTAGTAATTCAAGAAAGCTGGCTATTTTTTCAATCTTTCTGGATGTTTTAAGGATCTCCTTCTAATTCTGAAATGTTGCTCAGGTATTTCTTGTTGAAGTCTTTTCCACAGGGTAGACTCTAGCTTGGGGTCTATTGGAGCAAGTTAAATGTCTTCAAAGGTGATGGGTTATTCAACTGAATAAATGTTTTCTAGAATGTGGTGAAACCTGGAAAATACAGTGGGAGTAGGAGAGGGAAGAAAAAAAAAAGACATAATATACTTTTCTCCACTCTACCTACCATGATAATACATATTAATCTTGCCTTTATTCTTTCTTTATTGTATATAAAAGCTTCCACTAACTTTCCATTCTAGGGAGTCATTGAGAGAATATAAATATGTGGGCTTTTTGTTAAAGCCTGATAGGAGAAGAGATTATTATAAGTAATTGGAGACTGTGGAGTCAGAATAACTGAGTTTGAATTCTGACTTCATCATTTACCAGCTGTGTTGCTTAACCATAAAATGCTCATAATATTTACTCCAGCGAATAATGGGAGAATTCACAGAGGTAATCCTTGCAGATAATCCCTGCTAATCATTTAACCTAGTGCCAGGATATAGTAAATGCTCAATAAATATTTATAGTAGTAGTCATTGTTATTTGATAACTATTACAGAATAGCTCCCAAGGGCCTACTGAAGAAAAGCTTTGTGCTTAAGACACTGGCAATAAGTTCATTTCCATATGGTGTAACTTGAAGCTTTGGTTTTATAGATTAACTCAGAGACAAGTCCTACCACAGTGATTCACAGTTCCTGAATTCAAAACACTGTGCATATCACTGATTTGGCATTTCACCTTATATGACTAGCTCGTGTTATTATTTAACTTTGCCTTGGCTCACTAATTTTATTTTCAGTTTCTAACCTTTAAGAGGTAACAGTTTTATACTGTTCAAGACTCCCCAAACCAAATACCACAGAGCCATTTGTTTACATTAGTAGGTCCCCAATAAATATTCATTAGTTATTTCACTGATTAATTAAAGTAATCCATTCATCTCCACAGGGACTCAGGCTGGCTGAATCAGGAGAGACATCTTCAGATCTATTCCTCTTTGAGAAATTAGTATAATGTCAGTGCATTCTCATGTGTTTCTTGAATTATGAGCTCCCTGATGTCTAAAGAAGACTCACAGGGAAGAGTTCATATACTGACAGAACAATCATTAATTAGTTTTCAAACTAGTTTTGATTTGAAACTAAGTAATTTCAATCAGTTTTTTGACTTTCAACTCAGTGTTGTGACATCATGGTGGACACAACTTTCTTAGAGGTATCAATACCATCATCATGTCCATGTTTGATTTGACAGACAAATATTGCAATTTTATTCTGTTGGACATTTTCCAAAGAAGTTGGTTACTGATTTATTAAATAAATATACATATTTTAGGGTAGTGGAAGAAGAAGGTGAATAGAAATTAATGGGTGAGCAAAGGTGAGGGAAAACCAAATCACCAGTTTTCTTTCTGATTATATTTTAATCTAAAAGGCTATGTTTTTAATCAGGTTATATGTCTTGATAAGTGGCGTTTCTACTTAAAAAATGTTGGTTGTATTTGTATCCCAAGTAGGAAATGCAAACATACTTGTATAAAGCAAACAAGTTTAACTTGTGTGTTTGTATTAATGATATGTGATCAAGGCACAGGAAATGTTAGTAAAGAATCATACACTTATTATGTTTGTTTGGGACAGAACAAAGGATAAGTCATTAGTTGGTGAGTTCAGTCATTTTCTTTGAGATAAAACATTTGGTTAAAAGGCAGGCTAGCCCAGGCATCATGGCTCATGCCTGTAATCCCAGCACTTTGAGAGGCTCACGCCTGTAATCCCAGCACTTTGGAAGGCCAAGGCAGGTGGATCACGAGGTCAAGAGATTGAGACCATCTTGGCCAACATGGTGAAACCCCGTCTCTACTAAAAATACAAAAATTAGCTGGGCATGGTGGCGCGCGCCTGTAGTCCCAGCTACTCGGGCGGCTGAGGCAGGAGAATCGCTTGAACCCGGGAGGCGGAGCTTGCAGTGAGGTGAGATCGTGCCACTGCACTCCAGCCTGGTGACAGAGTGAGACTCTACCTCAAAAAAAAAAAAAAAAAAAAGAGATCAACTTGGGCAATGTAGCAAAACCCCATCTTTATAAAAATCTAGAACTTAAATAAAATTAAAAAGGCAGGCTGATGGAAACAATTTAATTAACTTGATTTACTGGGAAACATTGATTTATTGGAAAAACAATGAAAATGTACATTGATTTATTGGAACTTGATTAACTTGACTTATTGGAAAACATTGAAAACATACATTGGGACAACTGGATATTAGATATTTATTTTAATGCAGAAGACTTTTCTTTAAAATTGTATTTCCTTTAAAAATAGACTGGCATTATGTTATTATTTAATTATTATTTTAATGCAAAAGCTATTTTCTTAAGGATACTATTTATATTTCTGCTACTGAATACAGCACAGTAATATATTTCCTCTTGTAGAATACATTTAGTCTTGTTTTGATGGGATAAACTGCTTTTGAATATACTCACTATGTCATGCATGATTTATTTATTTAAATTTCAGCATAATTTTTCTTGACAACCTGTTCTTTCACTTGAAATGTTATGTAACAAAAACACCAGGACCAACTGGCATTTTAGTTTATCCGTCTATTCCATATGCTGCTGGATGAAGCGGAAAATGAATGTGTATCATCACTATGCTGGGCACATTTTATTCGCAGCCTGTCTTTTCTCCTGTACATCAATTTCTCTTCTCCGTTTGGAAATAGCTTCATAGCAGGTTAGGTCTATAGACCTTAACCTGAGTGATCACATATAATGTAACAGGAATCTAATTGGCTATGGTTAGAGTCAGGGACCAAAATATATTCAAACTTACTTGGATTGCTGCTTGAATATAATCACTTCAAGTCCAGGTAGAACTATTTAGACTCAGAAAGAAATTGATTTTTTTAAATCTAAACATAGTTACTGGGTAATTTATGATAGATCTCCAGCCCAAACATTTCATAAACAAGTCAAATAAGGTCAGCATGCATCAAGGACTAGGGCACATTAATCCAAAACTACAAGAAAACCCTGCAATGTGTCCACTCAATATATGCCAGCCAATAAATTCAAACTAAGGACTAAGCTAAGGTCTTCATTTGGGTTCCCCCAGAAACAAATCCTGAGATGAGGATTTGAGTATAATAGTGTTTCTGAGCAGTGGTCCCAGGAAACCAGCAGGGAAGTAGAGAAGTGAAGCAGGAAAGGGAGGGTAGCAATTAAAAGTGTGGC
The DNA here is from genome assembly GCF_000001405.40 of Homo sapiens. Taxonomy (NCBI): domain Eukaryota; kingdom Metazoa; phylum Chordata; class Mammalia; order Primates; family Hominidae; genus Homo; species Homo sapiens. The sequence goes on from NC_000020.11 coordinate 8,862,945, forward strand.
TTTTCTCAGACAAGTTACAAATGTGGGCAACTGGTGATCAAGCCCAGCATGGAATTCTGGGAAACCATGTAGACTATGCACCTTAGAGTTATTTCTTGCAAAGGGTGAGGGAGCTGGAGTCTATATACACCAACTGAGCAGGCAGTTTCAGCCGTTTTTGCACCCTGCAAGAGAAAGCAAGCTGTTGGAATTAGGACAGTCTGCATGACAATGGTTAGGCCAAAGAGCTATAAACTGGGCACTAACAATCATTAGCTTCAAATTGGATGAGAAGTTCGCCAAGATTATAATGCTAGAGTCTCCATAATTCAAATTTCAGTGGCATTAAACCCACACCTGCATCTGACAATAATCAAGTATGTTTGGGTTTAGAAAATATTTTCCAAACTGACACTACTTTTTTGGCAAGACTTAGCCATTAAATACATGAATGATCCTCAACAATTCATGTAAATGAGAATCACCTGCAAGCCTTCTTCAAGCTCTAAATCAATAGTTCTCACACTTTGGGATTCATCAGAATCAGGTAGGAGACAATAAAACACAGATGACTGGGCTCCCACCCCCAAAGCTTCCGACTTAGTAAGTTTAGGGTGAGCCTGAGAACATGTGTTTCTAACAAGATCCCAGATGAAGCTGATGCTGCTGTTCGGGAGACCTCAATTTGGGAGCTTCTGCTCTGTATAACCTCACACACCGTACTTGCTCCTGCCCTAATCAGTTTTGTATTTTACCATTATAACCAAAAGAAGTACATTATATTCTTCAGATAAAGAAAATGTTAAGAGGCCTTGATTTTCAATCTACTTCTAACTGGAAGAGTTAAGCAAAGGAAGTTTTTTCTACCTCTGAAGAAGGCAAACCACACAAAGTTGGAATCTTCTATCCAGAGTTGAAAACCCTATTATACTTATAATCATTTTTTTATTAACATATACTGAAAGATGGTCATTCATAGCAAGAACTCATAGGTAAAGATTAAGTTGGTAGGGTTTCTGAGTGGCATTTTACATAGCACTATGAAAAATTATGCACATGATTATCTTTTCTTATTCATCACTGATGTATCAAGAGATATCTTCAATTTTCAGAATGTTTTATTTTTCTTGGCATACAATTAGACAAAATATTTCAGTTTTCAAAAAACAATTCAGAGTTCTTATTATTTTTCCTCTTTTAGTTATTTTAAAATTTGATTTGAAGTGCTGCAAAGAGAAAGGGGGAAATGATGTGGTAGGCCTTTGATGAAGTTAAGTGGCAGTCGCCTGGACAAATGTGCAAAAAGACTGGCATTCAGTAATATCCAGCTCTTCTGGTCTTAGATGATTTCTATTCTGTGATGCCAAGGAGAGGTAGTCACTCCCTCCTTTGTGTTACATTTGTATGTTGCATATAATTTTCCCATGTATATTGCAGTATACCATGTATGTTGCATATAATTTTACATATCTCAGCATAACACCTTATTATTTTATGTTTCACATTCTCCTACTAGTCTTGGGACTTCCTGAAGCCAGGGCTGTGTCTCACTCATGTCTCTGCCTAGCACCTGTCACAGTGCTAGGTTTGCAGAAGTACACTTGATAAATTTTTGGACACATGAATGAATAAATCAATGAATGTGTGAGGGAGAGGAGGCCACAAAAAGCGAGTAGATGTAAATAGAGAATGAGCCATGAATCAGTGGTATTGGCCATTCAATTCAGTATTCCAAGTATTGCAGTATGTTCCCATGATTTGGAATTAGGATGGCTCTCTGGCTGACATGTCAACCAAGAACTAGAACAGGCTTGTTAGAACTAGAACCTAGAAGATTTTTCCTGTCACTGGTAAGATTAGCTGTAGTTTTCTCTAAAGCCATTTACCCTTGTGTAAGTAAGGATGCCTATGATGCATCAGAATGGCTTTTAATCTCCTAGGTTGAGTGTTCTGAAGAAACCCCCAAGTTTTGGGAAGCAGCGCCAGAATTATATATGTCAGGATATGGTTATCTGATGGGAAGATGGAAGGAGAAAGTAAGATTTAGCAGACCAGCTCTGCCTTGTGAATCTAAGCAGAAGAAAAACGAATAGTGTTTTAAAACTAATTTGCAATTGTACTGAATTGAAGTCACCGGTTCCTGTCCTTATAAGAGTAACTTCACTGCGGCCATAGATTCTGTATATACCTTAATCCAGTGATAACAATGGAAGAAAAGGGAGTTTTTTTTCATCCTTGCACTTTCCTTGTAGAGGAGAAAGAGATAAACATTGATGGAAAGTAAAAGTTCCCCTGGGCTTTATAACACTAGCTCTTTCTTTCTCATAGTTATAAGGTAGTTATAAAGTACTCAAGATTTATAGTTAGGATTATTCTCTAATTCTACTTTAACTTCAGAATAACCAAAAAGGCCCCCAGAAATTTAAGAGGCCATCCTTATGGCATAAACATTGGCTAATAAAGATTAATCATAAATAAGAGAAACACTCATATCTGCATGTATATTCATCATTCCCCTGACCTCAAAATAAATCATGCAACACAAAATATGTATGTGAGAATGTATTGGTTAGCATAATACTGGCTGCTGTGACAAACAGTACCAAAATATCAATGGCTTCATACAATAGAATTTTATTTCTTTTTTGTACAATAGTCCAACATAAGAGTTTCCAGTTGATGAACAGTTTATCTCATCATGGCAATTCAGAGAACCAGGTTCCTTTCATAATGTGGCTCCATCATCCCCTAGGATCTTGCTGGAAAGGGGAAAGAAATAGTAGAGATTCCCCATATGTCCCCAAAAAGCCCTGCCCTAACTTTTCATTGGCAAGAATTTTTCAAATGGCTATGCCTGGATTAAAAAGTGGTAGGGAGGACTTGTAAACATTGTCCTTGGATTTGGCAGCTGCACCCAGGCACAGCAGACACCGTGGACAGGTGCCTGCAAATTTTGAGGATACCGACTTATTTTCTGCAATGTAGACCAAAATACTGGAATCCAAACCTGCTAAATGTAGAATTATTCTAAATTGACTGCTACTCACAAAGACCCTAAAGATAAAATCAGTAAAGTGACGACTTTGTATTCCAAGTCATCTCTGTAGACCTCTTCGAGAAATGGATCTATTAACAAAAGGATCTGGGCTAGAAGACTTACAAAAGAGGATTTCTATAAAAACAACTTGCTATTCAATTTATCTGACTTTTCATTCCAAACCCGATGTGTTTAGCACAGTTACATCACCACACTTACGTGACGAAGAAGGAAATGGGAAAAGAGGGAGATGTCCAATATTCTCTAGCAGATGCCTTTTATTCAAGAATAGGATCAAAAATTTACCTGGGGGTAAGGAAAGTGTCTTCCTCTTCCCAGTGATAGTTGCCTTGTTAAAGACTTTAGACACCAGCGCAATGTGGTTAAGTCTCCACTAGTGCAACAAAGAAAAGGATAGAGGCCAGTCCCTGAATAGGGAGGCCCCAGCAGACTTTCAGATGGTTAACTATCAAGTCCAAAGACAGACAGATGGAATACATTACCCAAATACTCCGGAAGTTGCAAATCGACCTGCATGGTGTTTTGTAAATTTCTAATTTAAGGCAACACTGACAAATTAGAAGGTTTAACACAAAATCCAGATTTCTGGATTCTTTTGAAAAATCAAAAGAATAATCTAGTTAGTAGAACTAGTTAGTAGAACTAGTTAGTAGTAATCTAGTTAGAAGAACGGGTGTCTGCTGTCTGTAACCACCCAGCTCCTGTCACTCGTTTGCCTTTTGATCTGGCCCTGCCTCAGTTTGCTCTCCCTGAGAAATCCCATCATTGTTTTCAGCTTCACCTTGGGGGGAGAATTCAAGCACAACAAGCAGGCTTCTCAAAATGCCTGTGAGGCCAAGAAACAAATGTCTAGTTTCCTTTCAGATAAAATTGTAAATACTCACCCAAAAACCACAGCAATTTAAGCAGGAGACATAAACATCATATTTAGAAGGAGGGACTATGTAATTAGGACATACTCCCTTAAGCATCAAAATCAATTATCCTGATAAAACCCTAGGACGGCTAACCACTCTTGAAATATACATTTATAAAAAGAAAAAGAAAAACCAAAACTAATTTTAGGTGATCGGGAGAAGGATGTTCTCCAGGGACATAACTGAGTTCATTCTAGGACATTTGATTCAGCCTGTCCCTTGTTTTGTAAATGCCATGCACAGGCTTTGAGTCGAGAAAGTGGTTGTAGCTAGGGCTCAAGTTCAGTAATTACTAATCCTTGGTTAATCTTAAAAGGAGTTATCATAAAGGCATGCACCAATGAGGAGACTCTGATCCAAGCTGAGGCCAACACAAGGGCAGGACCCCCACAGGAAAAAGCCTTTGGAGACCCAAGACTTCCTGAAGAGGCTGCTTCATGGGACTCCAGGTTCTCTGAGATGGTTGCTTGCACCGTCTGCACTATTGACCTTGCTTCTAATGTGACTCGGTGTAAGAACTGAATTCATAATGTATGTTCAGTTCTTTCTGGTTGGTGGCATTCCACCTGATTGAAAAGAAATACATCCTTCATCTAAAAATAATTAGCCTCTGAATGGCCTTTTATTTCAATTGCCCGGAGGGCTTTTATTGATTTTTTTTCAGGGTTTGTGTGGTTAAGAGAATGGGATTCTTCTGGTGGTGTCTTTCTTAGCCTCTCTCGAATAGGCTGTCATGCCCTTGCTCCTCATGTGCGGCTAAATCAGAAGCTACAAAGTAGTGACTTGCAGACTCAGTTGGGCCTTTTATTGGACTCTTGGTATATGTTAAAATTGCTGAATTTGAGTGTTTTACACAAGAAATACAATTCCACTTGGCTACAGATTCCACTACTTCTCAATTGCCTTATACCAGATCTCATTCACAGATTTGTGTTGCTTCTTGAGCCCCATAGATATTTGAGTTCAGAGATTCTGAAATTAATATACATGTATTAAGTTAATACATGTAAGGTCCTAGGAACAGTGCCTGCCACACAATAAGCACTTAATTAATTTTAATGTTACTATTATTATAGTAAATAATTATTTTATGGTTCTATATTTCCTTGTTTATTAGCAATTTACTAGGTTGGTTATAACCCAAGAGATTTTTTTCTTTTTCTTTTAAGCTATGATTTTTCCTTATTCCAGTTTTCCATTTGCTTGTTCTTTTTTATGGTATCCGATTCTTTACAGAAGTATTCTGATTAAATTAGACTGTACTTAATGGAAAACAGAAAAACAACTAGCTGATCAAATAAACATTTCCTAAACTGAAGAATGACACAGAGGGAGTGAAAAACCAGGATCTTCCAAGTATGACAGACACAAAGAAAAGCCTGTGATGATTTAGAAATGTGCTGGGCTAATTGCAGCTGGTTGAGGGTCCTCGTTGTTTTCCATAAAACCGTATTGTATTATGAAGAGGACAGCAGGTCAATAAGACCCTGGGCCATGGGACCCCTCTTCAGCATCACTTTTCAGTAAAAGACAATTCCCGATTATTTTGTGAAAGCAACTTTGAAATCCTAAACATGAAAGGAAAACACATTGGAATGTTTTGTTATATTCCCCTCAACACACAAGAATATCAGGTTCCTGAGACCTTCACACATCCTGTTTTTACATAGTGAACAGTTGGCCTGGAATGGTGGGGATGGAGCCCTGGATAGGAGGCAAGAATTTATTTATTTTACTTATGTATTCATTTTGAGACAGCATCTCACTCTGTCACCCAGGCTGGAGTGCAGTGGCACCATCTTGGCTCACTTCAACCTCCGCCTCCCAGGTTCAAGTGATTCTTGCGCCTCAGCCTCCCAGGCAGCTGGGGCTACAGGCACCAGCCACCACACGCAGCCAGTTTTTTTTTATTTTTAGTAGAGATGGGATTTCACCATGTTGGCCAGGATGATCTCAAACTCCTGGCCTCAAGTGATCCACCCACCTCGGCCTCCCAAAGTGCTGGGATTACAGACGTGAGCCACTGCACCTGGCCAGGAGGCAAGAATTTAGTATTCAGATCTTGATTCTGCGCTGAACCACTTGGATGGTAGGCTTTAGTCTCCTCACTTCATGATTGATGGGATTTGATGAACAATGTGCTGAATGTTTATTCTCTCAAGATTATAAAACAAGTATCTTAAGCTTCCTTACCCCAGAGCACAGGATCTTCAAAGACTTAGAACATCTTTTGGTATTTCAAATACAATAGTAACTTTCTGTTTGACAAACGTCTTTGGGTTATTATCTTGATTATTTTTTTTTATTATACTTTAAGTTTTAGGGTACATGTGCACAACATGCAGGTTATTTATCATTTTTGTACAATCAAAATTTGTTTCCTAATTCACAATCATTTTTATGCCCAGCTGAGTCTTCCAAAAGAAAACACCTAACTAAAAATAGAAAACTTCTAGGCCTTAATCGCAGGCCCCATAAGGAGAAAGTATTCCAGTGCTGACATAAAAAGTTCAGGGCCAGGAACTCACATATTAGCTGGGCTGACGTGGCCTGCTGAGTAGCATAATTATTGTCCTAAATTGTAGTATAAGTTGCTTTTAGGGTAAGTGGCTTGGGTATGTATATAAAGCAATAAGAATTTTGCTCCTGGAAAATGGTAAACAACTCATTTCATGTCAAGGCCACAGAACTTAATGCACACTTTTGAGAGAAATTATAAGAGTCATGGGGAAATGCAACAATAATACCAAATAACAGACACAAAACTTCACTGGCTTACAATAATAAACATTTATTTAGTTCATAAGATTGTGGGGTTCAGCTGATCTTGGCTGAGTGTGGCGGAGCTTAGCTGGACTTGTTCATACATCTGTGGTTCATTATGGGTCAGGCAGGTAGCTCTGTAGCTCTGCTGATCTTGACTGACTTACATCTCTGGGTATCAGTTGGATGTTGATGAATCTAGGATAATTTGGGGTATGGGACTGGGATGACTGAGGTGACTCAACTCTTTTCCTTGTGTTAAATCTTCTACTAGAGTAGTCTAAGCATGTTCCCGTGACATGCCATAGGAATAGGAGTGAAAGCTAAGTAAGGGCTTTTTTAAGCCTCTGCATAGGCCATGCCTGCTAACATCCTATTAACCAATGTCATCGCATGACCACATCATCTTCAAGGAATGGAGAAATAGACTCCTCATCTCTCATAAGAGAAGCTGAGAATCATAAAGCAAAGGCTCTGGGTACAGGGAGGAGCCATTAATCCAGTCAATCTACCACAGAGGAGAGAATTGACGAGGTCCTGGTCCTGGTTTTGCTACTAGCCAGCCATATCCTTGAGAAAGACCCTAACTTCTCTGGGCCACAGATTTTCACTAAATAAAAGAAAGGATTTGAGTATAATTGCTAAAGTCATTTTCTGAGACGTCAAAGTCATGAAGGGTTTGACTATGTAATTGTTAAATGTTCTTTTTTCAGGTTCCTACAGTAATCTCTAGACACCTGTGAGATGATTAGAAATTTTGAAATATATTTCAGGACTCAGAGGAGGTATAAAAGCATGGACTATGTTAGGAGTTTTCCTCTGTGGCGGTTTCATGGAATATATGCATATATAGAGGAGTTCACACCTAAGAACTATGTCAGAATGCATTTGGCTTTTGACTTGAAATAAAGTTTAAAAAGGAAATGCATGTTAGGAACTGTGCTTGGTAAATCACATGGTCTCTAGTTTCTGTCTTTCCTCTTTTATTGATTCAGTATTTGGATCTACTTAGTATTTTGCCTACCTCGTCCTTGACTCCTCCAACCTTCCTTTCTGGCAACTTAGCAACCCTCATTCTGCCCTTCACCCAACAGCCTTATCAACACTTTGAATCTAAATCTGAGCATTAGCATTCCAGAAGTCTGAAGATATGAGATCTACAAAAGAATGGTTTAATATTTATCTAGACCCTGAAGTAATGTTGTTGAGGAAGGAAGAGAATGCACAAAAGGAGAAAATTGTTGGAAGACCTTTGTCTAAAGTGGTGCTATTCACAGTGTGGTTCTTAGACCAGCAGCAACAGCATCACCTTGGAGCTTGTTAGAAATGCAGGGTAGCATGCCCCACCCCAGATCTTCTGAATCAGAATTTGCATCTTAACAAAATCCCCAGAGATTTTGTATGTACATTACCTTGTCACTTTTAATGTGCATCCATCTGTGAAATTAGCCATAGATTATGAAAACAGAGTATGTGAGAATTGTAATCCCTCTATTGTAATCTATGGCTAATTCATGAAAGTAAATGTGTGATAATTTAATTTTTATATATTAGAGCAGATTCAAAGTTGAGATTCATGTTTTCTATCACATCTACATACTTACATATATACCTGTAGATTGTGTAGGGAAGAGGGAATTTACAGCTACAGAGCTGTGTCTCCCCAGTGAATGTCATCTATTGTATGTCCAATGGAGGAAGTGTTGAGAGCTTCTGCCCAAAATAAGGATAATACTAAAGGTATTGGCAGATTCTACAAGGCTCAATTTTTAAGTCTCATGTCCTTCATAAAGTATTTCCCATATTACCTTAAGGCTACAATACAGTCTTCATTTTCAGCATCCACAGTCCATCTTGTGTGTGGCACTCATTCAGTCCAATGTTTTATTTTCCCCGTATCCATTGCTTGTCACCTAGGACGGATTCTAATTTCTCCAGTCACCACAACACCAAACAGGGCCTTGCATGGGTCAGAGTGTTCAAAATACCATTTATTGACAAATGCATCAAAATCAACAAAAAACCAGAATATAGTCCCAAAAGAGAAATCCACCAAGTACCATAACTGACCAAATAATGACTCAAATTAACTGGAAAGAACAAGGACTGGTTCATAGGCAGGACTTTAGATTTTTTTTGCTGTAAGTGATTTTTTCTCTCTTTTTAAAAATGAGGTTACACAATATTAATTAATAAGCAAATCAGAGTATGCTAAGCATTTAATATGTATGATCTTGTTTAAACCTTTTAACAGCCCAGGAAAATTGGTTTTATTATTCCTATGTTATACATGAGACAGTTAAAATTCCAAGAGATTAAATAAGCTGAGCAAGGTCATATTTCATAAAATGCAAGCATTCTAAACCCTATGTGGAGAAAGAATCTTATCTATCCCAAAGTGAATTGTCTACTTTGTGTAGATCTATGGCATCAGTTTAACTTATGTTGCCTTCTTAGCCCTGTGTAACAGGTTCTATTGCTAGTTGGTATTTGTTCACAAGATAAAAATTAATTTTAATATTATTTTGAAGCAAATATAATTATTTAGGAAAATCTACCCAAAATATAGGCATGCATCAAACTCCAGCACCCAATAAAAAGCAGCAGTAATTGATTTCCATTGTGAATGGCCTGTATTCTTCTACATTGGCATGGACTATCCAGTTTACTTCTGTTTACATCTGGAGTATTTTCAACTTTGACCTAGAAATACACTGATCACCATTTCACTCCTCATCTTTAGATTTCAGTTGCCAATGGCAACCTTGAATTACAAAGTTGAACAAAAGCTGCATTTTACTTGAGTGGTTTGTAATTTTGAACTTGAGTTCATGTTTTCTAGGAGTTGTTTGTCTATAGGTGTCAGTCCTGCCCTTGGTTGCCGAGGAACCCGAACATTCTGAATTTGCTATGCCTCTGCTGGGACTCAGTGGGCTTTATCAGTTTCTGAACAGTTTTTGCTTTAAATTATTGGGACTGGGTACTCAATTCACAGGGGTAATATGAATTTGGAAACTGCACTCATTCATGGGTTTCTAATTCCCTTTGTGGATGTTTTTCCTCAATGTGCTCCATGAATCATTTGCTTCCTTGCCTCATCTCCAAGGTTGTGGATTGGGTTTTCCTAGTTCCCATTTGAAGGGTGGGCACCCCTGGCTCTATTCAGGGACTTCAGGTTCAGCACTCCAACACCCGGCATCCTGAGGCCTCCTCTTCCAATCTCTCCTCGCCCCGCAAAATGGAGAATCAATTCTGTTAACTGTGAGTTCCTTTGTTATTTCTGCGACTTAAGGATTTCTTTTCCTTATATTCAAACTCAGCTGTAAACTTAAGTGAATATGTATGTACTGTTTCATTTTGCCTTTCCCTATGTTTGGAATAGAAAAGGAAATTTTCAGTCAGCCATATTGACTCAAAGTCCCATGGCAATTTATTCTAAGGAAACTTAGTGGAAAACAAATAAACAAACAAAAACTGAAATGGTTAGGATATAGCATGTGGTCACTTTCCAACAATCCTTGGGTAACATGACTAACCTCAGTCTATAAATTTCTTATGATCCTGTTATTTTTATTCTTGAAGCAAAATTCATGAGATTATTCTAAAAATAAGATGAGGCCTTGCACGTTTGCTCAGGCTTAATTTTGAAACCATTCATTCTATGAATGTATGATTTTAATGCATTTCCCATTGCTTTTAATATCCACTTAGCTAACTGATGATGTTGAGGTTAAAATACTATAGTCCTTGCAGTAATTCTCGTAAAATTGTCCTAGTCACTGTATCCCACATTCAGAGTTCTACATTTTTCTTTTTTGTATTTTATAGAAATTATATTAGATTTTGTTTTCATTTTAGAATGCTATTTTTATGCTAAAAATGAAATAATCACATTACCATAAAAGTGAGAAATAGAATAAATAAAGATACTCATAATTCTAACACAGTTTATATTTTAGTGTTTCTTTTCAAAGTCGTTTTGTATTCTTTAAAAAAATGGTCATAGTTATTATCACAGTATGTATACAACTATAGGTACATTTTTTCACTTATCACAAAAATATAATTATTTCTCCCTGTTTTCAAAGCCATTGGTTTATATTATTTGACTACCTCATAGTTCTTTAAGTGAGAGCCTTATGATTTTTTTACAGAAACACTTACGTTTTATTCATGTTTTTGCTGTTTCTTGGCTTTTTTGTTAGTTTTACTATTTTCCCTGATCTTTAGCAGTAAATTCCAAAATATTCTGAGCAAGATAATTAGAGTACCATATTATTATTGCTGCCTCTCAAAGGCTAGGAGATATATTTTTAAAGTGTTAAAAGACTATAAGGAATTAAATTTTAAATATATGCAGCATGTATTTTACATCTCAGAATTGCTAAGCGATTAAATTTCAAATGTTCTCACCACAAAAAATGGTAAGTATTTGAGGTGATAAATATGTTAATTGGCTTTATTTAATTACTCCATGTTGTATTTATAAATCATGGCATCATTCTGTACTACATAAATACATACAATTTTAAATTGTCAATTTTATTTATATATATGTGTATGTACACACACACACACACACACACACACACACGCACAACAGATGCTCCCAGAGAAGAAAAAGAATAAAATAATTGAAAATGTCTACTGAGAAAACAAACTGAAACAAGTGATCCTATGTCTATATTTAAGGTAACATAACCATACAAAGAATATAATTACTTTCAGTGAATTTTGGCAGAGTAATATAATTGTGCATCCTTAGTAGGATATATTTGATGAATAAAAAGAACTTCAAAAAAGTCTCAAGCTTCATTTGCTTATTTTATTGACAGGTCATAATATTGAAACTATTTCTGGATATATTAATATAAAGCAAATAAATAAATATGCTAATGCTATCTGAAAGCAACCTTTTTAGGAAACGTATGCTTCAGTCTTTATGGGTGAAATGTCATGATGCCTGAAACATTTTCAAATGACTCAGCAAAAAATATAGAGATAGACAATACATAATGCATATGTGGCAAAACATTGAAATTAAGGTAGTTTTCACAGGCTGGTTTTGTTTTGTTTTATTTTTTGGTTGCTTTGCCTGTACAAACAATGCTAAATCAATGCTATTTTTCCTGTACAAAAATAAATATCTTAGTGTATTCATTCTTATATGTTGGTGGTTTTGTTTCTGTGGGCCAAATTCCCAAAAATGGAGTTGCTGGGTTACAAGCCTATGTTTGCCTTCTTATAAATTTTGTCAAATTATTGCCCAATGTTTCAAAGTGTCAATTTCTCAGAATGTTATTGCTTCTTTAAAGGAAATTTCTTTTAAATTTAATGAATTAAATTAAATTAATCAATATAATAAATGTCCCTTGAAAAGGTATTGTGCTATTGCATTTCTCTAATTGTTAATGAGCTGCTTTCATCTATATTTCAAATATATATAGTTGTATTGTATATATATTCTTTGTATTTTATTTCTTTTCCTATGAATTGCTTTATTTATGCTCATTTTTCAGAGAAATGGATTATTTTCATCTAGATAAAGATATCTATATTTTTCTTTCTTATGTTTTTCTGTCTTGCTTAAAAAGGTCTCTGTACCCCATGATTATACAGTTATTCACAATCACAATTATACTTTTGGCACATTCTCCTAGACAGAAGCAAATAACAAGCAAATAACAATCCTAAGATTGTTATTGGCTTCATATTTTATATTACAAAGTGGTATATATACTATACGTAGTATATATAATATACATAATATAAATATTAATATATGTAATACATTATATTAATTTATTATGTTTATATTATAAAATATTTATATAACATATAAAATATTTTTATATATAAATATAATATATTAATATTTATATTATAAAATACATTGGCCTTATATTTTATATTAAGATCTTTCATACACTTCATTGGGCAAAATGACCTGAGTTGGACTCTGGAATTCCAAATTTTGAAAACCTTGCAAATATCTGTCTGCACATTATCCAGCTGCATATTTTTTTTTAAGTTTTCTCAATTCTTCTTTGTTATTCCATTGTGGCTTATTGTTCTCTGGTTTCAATTTGTTTCCTTAGGAAATTGGTTTGATTGTCTCTGATTCATAACTCAGTAATCTGTCTTATATTTATGCCACATTTATGTTATACTGGGTTTTGTTTGTTTGTTTTCTGATTGTAAGCTAACCTTCAAGAGTAACTTTGCTTGCTCCTTGGCCTTCACTTATTTTTTTTATCTAAAAGCTTTCCTTAACTATATCAAATCTCTGCCTTTTTTAAAGACAGAAGAAAAGAATGTCAGAGTCAGAAAAGCATCCCAAGTACAAAAATCTTTGACAACACAGGAAGAATTGAATACATTTGAACTTGACCGTATTGCCTTTTCCTGCTTAACTACCCAGAGTTCACAAAAATGACTAGTGGGCAATGTCTTTTGAAAATCAAGTTAACTGAGAAATTTAGAATTTGAGCCTGACTAGTCAAATTAAAGAACTGGGCCTATAATAAAACAAACTCTGACAACACTCTTCTTTATTAATATCTGAGTATAATAATAACAACTCATCTTAAATTTAGAGGTTAAATTCAATCATGTTCTTTCGTCTTTCTTGTTCATTTTCCAAAAAGAGGTCTTATGAACTTAAGATTAAACAAACTCAAGTTTGACAATGTTATGCTAGAAAGGCTCCAAGGCATAGCCTACAAAATCACATTTGTCTTGAAAATCTATCTGTCCTGTGGTGATTTTTTTTCCAAGAATATGCTTTGAGGCCACAGCAATGAAAGGATGGGGCCAGCTGTGTTAGCTTATGAGTATTTTATGGGTCCAGGCCACATAATGAGACTACTTTCTGTTCCCCTCACTCAAAGTTATAGCCATAATACTGCTGCCTAACAACCAACCATAAAAATCAGTCACAAAACAAGCATTTGCTAAGTTGATGAGTCTATGAACTGGTTCTGGTCTGGACCAGGCTCACCTGATCTCAGTAGGCTTGTTCATGCCTGTGTTTAGCTGGTGGTCAGCTAGGGGTGAGCTGGTTTAGAATAGCTTCACTTTTATATCTGATAGTCAATTGAAGTGATGCAAAAAGTATAATAACTGGGCCATGTGTCTCCTCTTCTGGCAAGCTAGGCTGAGCTTGTTCACATGATGGCTGAGTAAACTTCTAACTGTGAGAGCAGAAGCACACAAGGCCTTGTGACGTCTGGACTCAGAACAGCATATACTTTTGACACATTCTCCTAGACAGAACCAAATAACAAGGCCTCCCCAGATTCAAGAAGATGAGAAATACACTCCGTTCTTTGCTGGGATGGGATGAGCTGCAAAGTCACACCACAAAGGTTATGATTACAAGGAGGGGTGAAGAATTACTGCCATTTGCACGACCAATCTACCATTCCCACCTAACACCTTGTTTCACTTGCACAGAATAGAAATTCAACACATATTAGAGTACAAAACCCAGAATATGGCAATTAGATAGTATGATGCTGAACCTCAGAACAGAGGCAATCAAAAGGAAGCCCTGGTGATCTGTGGAGGACCATCTAAGCCTAGGATTATGGGGAAGGAAAATTAGGAAGAATCTAAACTGGAATTCCACAGTTGGACCTAACTTCGGGAGTCCCCTGGTTAAAGCCAGATTTAAATCTGTTAGGGGAAAGGTTATAAATTCTCCATGAGCCCAGTGGGGCTGATGAATGTGATTTGAATTGATTGCCAACAATAAAAACTCAGGCTCTTACATGAAGATGTGGATTTCTGACTTCAATATTTAATCTGACAAGCATCAGCTAGAACTGAGTTGTTTGTACTCCCTTTAGACAGGGCCTGTCATCTCTAGCTCTTCAGAAACCCCACAACCCCCTCTTTCTTGCACATAGCCTGCTACTTATTTACATGACTTGCCTGGCCCCTGTAACATCTGAGTTTGCAACCCTTGGGCTGGAATAGCTCTAGACCACTGATGGATGGGGCTTTGTTGGAACGGAGCCAGAATTACCCTGTATTCTTTTCATATTTTCTTACAATGAACAAGTATTTAGTTTATAAGAAGAAAAAGCAAAAGCTCTAACTTGGAATGTAATAAATACAATTTTGAAATTAGTTCATTAATAATTGTATGGCTGTTTAAAAAGAGTGAAATATATGGCACTTAATATGTCATGAAGCAGTGACTTAGTTTAGAATATAATAAAATCTACTACTATCCCATGATGAAAGTCTACTACAGTTATAACTTAGCCACAACTGGGTCAATTATTATAAATTATTAAAAATCATCATCAAAATTAAATTACTAAAATGTAGGTTTTTCTTAGAATTAAATTATTTAAAATGTTAAAAAGCATTGGTTTAGGTATTTGACATTTTCTTGTATTTTACTTCTTTTGTTAATAATTAAAGAAATAGTACTTATCAAGCACTATGGGGTCTTGTCCACCAATGAGCATTAACCTGAGAGAAATTATCTGCTAGGTCAGGTACAATATATCCATAGCTGAAGGTCCCCCAGTTCAACCTATAAGAGAACAACAATCTGTTGTTTTCTTAAAACAGGCTCACTTGCTTTTCTTCCTTCCCTATCTTCCTTGGAAACACATGTGTTACTGAATTAAAATTGAGGTGAATTGATGATGAGGTCTGAATGGTAGTAAATGGACGCTGTCAAACAACAGGCTAAGATTTCATTCATGCAAAAGAGTACGACATTGTAAAAGCCCCACTTCCTTCTAAATTGTTGGAACAGCAGGGAAAGAACTGGCAATTGTCTTCTTCCTGTTTGATGCCCCAGTGACTCGTATGTGCCAACATGGAGAGTAGGGCCCTGTACAAGGTGCTCCATCATAGCCACATGAGTCCAGGGCCCTGAGCGCCCCCTCACAGCATGTTTCCTCCTCGGCTTATAAGAATTTATATGCTAGCAAATAGATTCATAAATACCCCACATTTTATATGTAGGGAGAATAGTTGACTTTCAATACTCAGCCTAAGCCATTTTTACCAGATACCATTTTTATTTTTATTTTTTCATTTTCTATTTTTATTTATTTTTATTTTTCTTTGATATTTCAATAATTTTTATAAATTTTTAAAAATTTCAACTTTTATTTTAGATTCAGAAGGTACATGTACAGGTTTGTTACATGAGTATATTGTGTAACATATATGTATGAGTATATTGTGCTGAGGTTTGGGATACGAATGATCCTGTCACAAAAATAATAAACATAGTACCCAGCAATTAGTTTTTCAAGGCTTGCCCCCGACTCCCTCCCCCACTTTATTAGTCCCCAGTGTCAATCATTGCCATATTTATGTCCATGAATACCCAATGTTTAGCTCCCACTTATAAGTGAGACTGTGTGGTATTTGGTTTTCTGTTCCTACATTAATTTGCTTAGGATAATGGCCTCCAGCTGCATCCATGTTGCTGCAAAGGACATGATTTCATACTTTTTATGGCTGCCTACTATTCCACATTATAAGTACCATATTTTCTTTATCCAGTCCACCATTAATGGGCACCTAGGTTGATTGAATGTCTTTGCTATTGTGAATAGTGCTATGATAAACATACAAGTGCATGTCACACACTTTTTGATGTGAAAAAAAAAAAAAAACAAGTCATTTAAACTAGATCCATAATCTGTTATCTGAGATTCTTGGGGCCTGTTGTTTTTCAGAATTTTAACTTTTCTGATTTTAGAAAGGCAATGTGATGCATATACCATGAGCATAACACTCCAGGCAGACCTGAGTAATCCTCAAAATCAAACAAATTAATATGTCTGCAGTTAAGTTCATGTATAGTCATATGACAGGGCATACATGAAATTATACATATTTCATGTATCAGTATCATCCCAATATCAGTTCATGTCAATGAGTCTGCCACAAATTTGCCAGAAAAAGAAAAAGAAAAAGAAAAAAAGGAAACTTCTTCTGGATTTCAGAACTTTGGGATAGATAAGGGATTACTTAATATAAATTAAATAATTTAGTAATGGCAAAATTTATCTGTCACAGAAGTGAGAGTGAAAGGAGTTGAACTAAAGGGGATGCTCCCAAGCTGCTGACACTGTCTAGAAGGAGGCTAAGACTCAGGAAGACAGATGTCCTGGAGATTGACTTCACCCTGGCATTCCAGGGATCAGAACAAGCCCCAGAGGCTGCCCTGAAAGCTGCAGATGGAGGATGCACAGCCAGGATCAAGACAAAAAGTAGAACTGGGGGCTGAGAGTAGAACCCAGACAGGGAGCTATCAGAGTGGCCAAAGCAGATTAACCACCTTGGCATCCCCCAAGAGCTATTGAGAAACGCAGGAGCTCAGGCCCCACTCAGGCCTCCTGAGTCGGACAGAATCAAGATCAAATTCCAGACGATTTGTGTGCACTTAAAGTTTGAAAAGCAGGGGGAAAAATACAGGTTTTAAGTCCATGTCTTAAAAATTGCCTCCAAGCTAATAAGGAGGTGTGGGGGAAGCATTTAACCTTGCATGGTGTTTCAAGGATTATTCTCCCTGCTCACCAATTGATAAGCAGAGATAATTTTCTTTAAAATTCAAGGTTTTCTCTTGGACTCAGCACAGCACAGCTCCCTACCAGACAACTCTCCCTGTTGCCCCCGTTCTCTCCCTGTCTACCGGAGAATCCCAGCTTTTATATTATTTTATGACTAAGACATCCACGTAAGTCTCCATTTGAAGAAAGGCTTCCAGGACTTTAAAACATCTGAAAATTCTCCAGGGCATAAAATAGACACATTAAGAGACAGTTTAAAGGGTAGCTAAAATAGTTTACAAGGCAAATAAAAATTAGAATGAAAAATGAATCAAAATAAAGTGGTGGCAAAATAAGTCAAAATAAAAGTTCAAGTTGGTTACACGAGTTTGTTTACTTTGTGAAAATGTATCAAGCTGCTCCTTAGACCCCAGCATTGGCTTCCAGGCCTCTGACTAAAGCTGCACATCTCAAAGTCCACTCCACACTGCTCTGTCTATTCTACTCAGCTTCTTAGCTTCCCCCAGCCAGGTTCATGGCTGACCTTGGAACGCTCACCTATCAATATTTCTCAACCCCTAAATGTAAGAACCTCAGATCATTTTATATTATTTCTGACACATTTTTCTATTTTTCTTTCTTTCTTTTCCTCTTTTTCTTTCTTTCTTTCTTTTTTTTTTTTTTTTTTGGTTTTGAGATGGAGTCTCACTCTGTCGCCCAGACTGGAGTGCACTGGCGCGATCTCAGCTCACCACAACCACTGCCTCCTGGGTTCAAGCGATTCTCCTGCCCCAGCCTCCCAAGTAGGTGGGATCACAGGTGCACGCTACCATACCTAGCTAATTTTTGTATTTTAGTAGGGATGGAGTTTCACCATGTTGGCTAGGCTGGTCTTAAACTCCTGACCTCAAGCAATCCACCTGCTTCAACCTCCCAAAGTGCTGGGATCACAGCCGCACGCCACTATACCCAGCTCATTTTTGTATTTTAGTAGAGATGGAGTTTCACCCCATGCTGGTCTTAAACTCCTGACCTCAAGCAATCGCAATCAACCTGCCTCAACCTCAACCTCCCAAAGTGCTGGGATTACACGTGTGAGCCACCACGCCCAGACTCTGACACCTTTTTCAAAAGACCCGTGTGTGTGTGTGTGTGTGTGTGTGTGTGTGCATTTGTAGATACCGCTATTCATCTTATTCTGAGTCTTTAGCCTTATTGTGCCACACATAACTTGAAGTTGACTTTCAGCTACAGACAAATGATGTGTCCAACTAAACTTTGTTACATCTCCTCTATAGGTGACCAGTGAATGATATTTTAAGTTAATGTATTCATCAGCCCCTTTTGTATATCTCTTTCAGAGAGTTTCTATGGGAGTGGGTATAGAAACATAAACAACTTCAAGTCATCTCCCCTCTTGATGTCTCTCAGCTGCAGGTGGAGCTGGAGCAAGAATACCAAGACAAATTCAAAAGACTGCCCCTCGAGATTTTGGAATTCGTGCAGGAAGCCATGAAAGGAAAGATCAGTGAAGACAGCAATCACGGTTCTGCCCCTCTCTCCCTGTCCTCAGACCCTGGAAAAGTGAACCACAAGACTCCCTCCAGTGAGGAGCTGGGAGGAGACATCCCAGGAAAAGAATTTGATACTCCTCTGTGAATGCTCCTGCCAGGCCTTCAGAAATTGCATGGCCACTCCAGCGTCATCGGACTCTCTCTTATTACAAAGATCACTGCCCAGGACCATCTTCCCGAGAAGCATCCCTTAGCCTAAAATCCACACCAAAGGGAGAGTTCCAGAGGAATCCATGAAGAATTCCCATGCCCAGGCTCCATGTGTCATGTGGAAACCTCCACAGGTCTGCTAGTGAAGAATGCATGTATGTGAGATTTTTGTTTTCTTTCCAATAGCAAATTCAAAGCAAGCAACTTGCAGGCTCCATGGAACTTTTAATGAAGGACAGTGTCTTCTTTGAAGAAAATCAAGCTCGTGTTTTTATTCGAAGCTCTGGTGTAAAATATTTCAAAGTCATAGAAATAGTTTGAGAAATGCATAGCATTATTTAACACTATTGAACAGCCGACTTTGAGCATTGTTTCTTCTAACTGCCCCTCAACTACCATTATCTTCAAGTCAACATGCATATTACATTTTCATCCTTTGCTTTGCAAGCACTGGTGGCTTGCAGTTTGCTAATTTATTTATCATAGAGTCATCAATGTATTTGTTGCTGACATGGTTTTATTAGATACTGTAGTGATTCAAATAAGTTTTCTATTTGAAAAAAAAAATCACTTGATTGTATCCTTGCCCAGTGAAGCCATCCTAAGACTTAGCAATATGGATTGTACATTTGGCTGCATGAGCAAGTCGGCCGCACACTTCCAGACAGTGTGCTGTTTGAATTGACTATTTGCACTCAAAGTCTGGGTATTCATTGGTTATTGGCCTGAAATGATCAAATAACTACAAATGATCTGTTGAATAAAAATAGTTGAGCTGATATATGTTAAGCAGATATTCAATCAGAATGAACAGGTTCCGGTGGTTATTTTGCCGTTTGACATTTTTTATGGTTCATTTATTTTTAATATAGAGAGGAAGATTGAATATTTATCTAGAGAATACAAAGACCCACATGTAAATGATAGGTATTATCTCCATGTATATATGTACCCACTTAGTCATGTAAGTGCATATACACATACACACACATGAGTGTAGACATGTGTTTATTAATTGACAATGACCCAAATCTCTTCCACAAGACTTAAAACCAAATTCAGGGACAAATGGATAGAGAAGAAAAGGGTCAAACATCGAGATTACATGGATGTTAAATTATATGGAGACGCTAAGAAATAATTGATGGAGCCATTGATGCAAACCGAAGTAGATTTAGAACTTATATGAATTTGATTTATATTTTGCAAGATCAAAAATTAGATGTTAAGTATCAGATTTTAAGCTTGTTTTAATGGTCAAAAAATTAGGACAGAAATAATATGGACATTTATTAGTATCTTCCATAATTTTTAAGTCTGACACATTTCTATTTTATTCTAACATAAAAAAACTTCCATTATATATTTACTAAGTATATTTAATTCACTTAACTCTGTCTTTATAAGTTCCTATTTTAGATGGAATAAGAGAAACAAATTATATCAAGGTAAAACTGATCAAAAGCATAATTGAAAGTTCTGAAAAAAGAAAAATAATAATATGTAGAAAAATGTAACTTAGAGAGTAACACATGAACATTGAAGTTAAAACCCAGAAGCCAGATGCTCACAGTTTTATTTTACTTTAAAATAAACCTGTCTGACTGTAGCTTTGTGAAATATCTTAAAACGCAAAAACCAATTGTGTCCTGAAAATTGTTTCAAGAATTTAATATTTTTATGAAAATTATTTTATTTAACTTTAAGCAATAACTAGAGATTACAATTAAATTTTAATCAAAATGAAGGCTTAGTTCAAACATAAGGAAACAGTGTTTGATTAAAAAAAACACATCTAGTAAGACGTAAGGGGAAAATCACATCCTCTTTGGAGATGATTATATTTTGATCTGAAGGGTTTGGGGTGTTCATTAGACACTTAATAAAACTTAACTTCCAATGAAAAAGAAATCTTTTGTAAATCATTCTACTTTTGCACTTTGAAAGAAAGGCGTTAATCATAAAGAAGCAAGAATGGTCAAAATCGAATGCTGCATTTTTATAAACAAAATTACAGACTGTCTGAAATTGAAGAAGAATGAACTAATAATAGCATTCATAACCAAACACAATGATGATTATTGCAGAACATTGTATCACATTTTAGTCCAGAGATAGAATAAAGTTGAATAACCTTGACTTACACAAAACTGTTTTGGTAGTTGGATTTCATTATCTTAGTGAATTTAGTCATTTTACAATATGTTTGTATTTGGCCATTTACTGTAATCACATTTTTATATCTGTACAATGACACTTTTTGCAGTTGTGGGGTAGTGTGTAACACTGTCCATCTTGCATCATTGAAACTACTACAATGATACTATCATTTAATAATATTAATATTACTTGAAATAGACTAAGATAAAGAAAAGGGGTCTGTATGATGTGCAGTTTTGTGCCTTTATGTATTTGCCTTGTTCTTTGTCGAATGTGTGAAATTCCGTACTGTGGTTTTTCCTATAATAGAAAGTAGAGCTGTGTATTAAATTAGACTGTGTCTCTCTGATACCTTTACACTACTGAGAATAGCATGGTTTTGGCCATGTAAACCAATTTTCAAAGTTCTAATGACATAGCCATGTGTTTTTGGTTTTTTATATTTCATTTTAAAATTTGAGTATCACCATACATTAATTAATACTCCTGTAGTAGATAAGCTGTCATTAAGTAATTCCCAAAAAAAGGGCCATTTGCTTGCATTACTTTGAATTTAATGTTGCGCTTGTGCACTGTGTTAATATTGTTTGTGATGGATTGGACGTTGTGACTCTTGCCTTTTAAGAAGAAAAAAAAGATAGGACAAAGTATTTGAAGCTCTTAAAATGTACATATTTTGGTTCTTCTATCTCAAATTATTTAAAATGCATAATTCACATTTTTGTAATAATTCTATGCAATTTTGTGGCATGATGTTTCTTCCACTTGTAATTTTATGTGCTTTCATCACAAATCCAAAGGAAAGAATAAAAATTTCTTAACACAACCCAGCGGTTATTTCTTGGGGTCAGAGTCAACCTTCTTTTGACAGGGAAAGTGGTGGGAGCGGGCATAATGCCAGTCTTTAGGGCCATCATGCCTACCCTGACAGGGCACATCCATGCCTGTAAAGGATATTGGGATGCTGCAATGTGTGTGCCAGAGGACACAGTTGTCCTTGCTATCATTCCACCACCCTCCATCCAGGAGTGGAATTACACTTGCCATTGTTTGCGTAATGGAGACCCTCTCTTCCTTTCTCTCTTCCTTCCTTTCTCCCTGTCTTCCTTGACCAAAGTTAAGCAAGGCAAAACAGTCAAAAGTTTTTTGACATAAGTTGCAGTGACAAGAACTGACAGAGCACTTGATGTAAATTTTCTTATAAAACAGATTTTAAAAGTGTTTACAATATTGATAGGATAAGAAATGTATGTGTGAGTTTTATGTAAATGTTCCAGAGGCACCCCAAATGCAATGTATTAGGTACTTATTTCTGTGTTACAAATGGCTCTAAAATCTAGGGGCTTAAAACAATCAGAATTATCTCTTATCTCTTAGCTTCTCAAAAAAAAATGTGTGGGTACCTAGTAGGTATATATATTTATAGGGTACATGAGAGAGAGATGTTGATACAGGCATAAAATGTGTAATAATTACATTAGGGTAAATGGGGTATCCATCACCTCAAGCATTTATCCTTTCCTTGTGTTAGAAACAATCCAATTATACTCTTCTAATTATTTTTAAATGCACAATAAGTTAATTGACTGTACTCACCCTGTTGTGCTATCAAACACTAGATCTTATTCATTCTGTCTAACTACATTTTTGCTCGTATTAATCATCCTCACTCCCTCTTTTCCCCAACTACCCTCCCCAGCCTCTGGTAACCATCCTTCCACTCTCTATCTTCATGAGTTCAGCTATTTTAATTTTTATATCTTAAGAATAAGTAGGACATGTGACGTTCGTCTTTCTGTGCCTGGCTTATTTCACTTACCGTAATGACCTCTGGTTCCATCTACGTTGTTGCGAATGACAGGATCTCATTTTTAATGGCTGAATCGTACTCCATTGTATATATGTTATCATGTTTCCTTTATCCAGTCATCTGTTGATGGACACTTAGATTACTTTCAAATCTTGGCTATGATAAACAGTGCTGCAACAAACATGGTAGTGCAGATATCTCTTCAATGTACTAATTTCTTTTCTTTTGTATATGCCTAGAAATGGGATTGCTGGATCATATGGTAGCTCTACTTTTAGTTTCCCAATGAATCTCCAAAGTGTTCTCCATAGTGCTTGCACTAATTTACATTCCCACCAATAGTTTACAAGGCTTCCCTTTTCTCCTCATTCTCATCAGCATTTATTTTTCTCTGTCTTTTGGATAAAAGCCATTTTAACTGGGATAAGATGATATCTCATTGTAGTTGTTTGATTTGCATTTCTCTGATAATCAATGAGGTAGAGTATACCCGTTTGCCATTTGTATGTCATCTTTTGAAAAAATGTCTATTCAGATCTTTTGCTCATTTTTAAATTGGATGGATTTCTTTTCTAAAGAATTGTTTGAGCTACTTATATATTCTGCTTATTAATCCCTTGGGAGCTGGGAAGTCTTAAAATGTTTTCTCCCATTCTGTGGATTGTCTCTTCACTTTGTTGATTGTTTCCTTTTCTGTGTAGAAGATTTTTAATCTGTGTGATCCCACTTGTCTATTTTCCCCCCAGTTGCCTGCACTTGTGGGGTATTCCTTAAGAAATCTTTGTCCACTTCAATGTCCTGGAGAGTTTCCCCAATATTTTATCTTAGTAGTTTCATAGTTTCAGGTCTTAGATTTAAGTCTTTAGTCCATTTTGATTTGATGTTTGTATATGGTGAGAGATAGAGGTCAAGTTTTATTGTTCTGTATATGGATATACAGTTTTCCCAGCACCATTTATTGAAGAGACTGTCCTTTCTCCAACATATGTCCTTGGCACCTTTGTTCAAAATGAGCTCACTGTAGATGTAGTGATTTATTTCTGGGTTCTCTACTCTGTTCCATTGGTCAATGTGTCTGTTTCTATGCCAGCACCATGCTGTTTGGGTTACTATAGCTCTGTAGTATAATTTGAAGTCAAATAATGTGGCCTCCCCAGTTTTGTTCTTTTTGCTCATGACAGCTTTGGCTATTCTGGGCCTTTTGTGGTTCCACATAAATTTTAGGATTTTTTTTTTCTATTTCTGTGAAGAATGTCATTGGTATTTTGATAGGGATTGCACTGAATCTGTAGATTGCTTTGGGTGATATGGACATTTTAACAGTATTGATTCTTCCAATCCATGAACATGCAATATCGTTCCTTTTTCTTGTGTCCTCTTCAATTTCTTGCATCAATGTTTTGTAGTTTTTATGGTACAGATCTTTCAGTTCTTTGGTTTAAATTTATTCCTAAGTATTTTACTTGTAGCTATTATAAATGGGATTATCTTCTCGATATCTTCTTCAGATTGTTCACTGCTGGTATATAGAAATGCTATTATTTTTTGTATGTTAACTTTATATCCTGCAACTTTACTGAATTTATTTCTCAGTTCTAATAATTTTTGGTGGAGTCTTAGCTTTTTACAAATATAAGATTATATCATCTGCAAACAAGGATAATTTGATTTTTCCTTTCCAATTTGGATGCCATTTATTTCCTTCTCTTGTCTGATTGTTCTAGCTAAGACTTAAAGTACTGTGTTCAACAACAGCGGTGAAAGTGGGCATCCTTCTCTTGTTCCAGATCTTAGAGGAATGACTTACCATTTTTTTCAATTCAGTGTGATACTAGCTATAGATTTGTCATATATGGCTTTTCCTTCTGTGTCCAGTTTTGTTAGGGCTTTTATCACAAAGTGATGCTGAATTTTATCAAATGTTATCTCACAGGTTTTTTGAGTCAGGAATTCAGAGAGGGCAAAGCAGATATGGCTTGTCTCTATGATATCTGGGGCCTCAGCCAGAAGATTAGAGGTCTAGGGCTAGAATCCACTCACACATCTAGTGGTTGATGTTGTATCAAGTGGGAGCCTAGCTGGGGCTCTGGGGTGGAATACTTGCTCATGCCCTTTCTATGGAGAAGCCTGGGCCTGGGCTTTTTCACAATATGGTAGCTGGATTCCAAGGAAGAGCCTCCTGAGAGAGCCAGACAGAAACCATCAACATTTTTATAACCAAGCCTCAAAGTTACATACATCACTTATGCCAGACTCTATTCATTGGTGCTATCACAAGCCTCTTCCCAGATTCAAGGTGCAGTAACAAACATAGACCCCATCTTACCTTGGGAACACAGTTGATCATCCTGAAGAAGTACATGAGGGATGGAATGAATATATAGGCATGACCATCTTTAAAAAATATAATCTGCCACACACAGTATGCATGAAGCCGAATTTGTGTTACCTTCAAAGCTGCTCCACCTCCTTTGCTTTCTACATCAGTGAACAAAACCAGTATTACAAATCACACTCCAGCCTACACAACCTTATGGACCATTCCACCTCATAGGCTTTTTAACTACCATTTCTTTCAACTGCTTCATCCATCCTTTCTCTTTCTCTTAAATCACTCCCCCAGTACACGCACACAGACACACAAGTTCCTTTGGTTCCCTCCTTTCCCTGGCTAACTTCTATTTATCGTTCAGTTTATAACATAAATGTCAATTCCTCTAGGAACCATTCTTGGATCCACCAAAGCTTCTGCCAGGCCCCTTCATCTATTCTCCCAATGCAACCTGTATCAGTCACCCACTGCTGCATAACAAGCCACAGCAAAACTTGATGTTTGAAATAACTACCACTTACTATTGGTTGTGGGCCTATGGATGGGTAGATGGCTCTGCTGATCTGAGCTGGGCTGGGCTTATCTCAGCTGGGCTCATCTATGCCGCTACGGTAAGCTGAGAGCTATCTGGTGGCTGATCATGGCTAGGCTCATTGACATGTCTGGGGCCTTGGCTGGAACAACCGGGCTGATGTGACTCTAATTCATAGGATTTCTCATCCTCTGGGAGATAAAATGGGTATCCAATAAAATATTCTCCAACTATTAAAAAGAGTTAAATACTGATACATGCTAAAACACAGACAAATCTTTAAAACTTTATGCTAAGTGAAAGAAGCCAGATGGAAAAGGTCACATATTGTATAAATCCAGTTGTATGAAATGTATGGCTTTTTCACATGTCAGAGGCAGGATATAAAGAACACATAAAAGTGCTCAAGGTCTCTTGAAGTCTAAACTCAGAACCATGCACCATCACTTCCACCACATTCTATTGGTGAAAATAAGCCAAAAGGCCAGCCCAGATAAAGAATAAAAGGAGCCTCCAATGTCACAAGGAAAAAGATGTAGACACAGGGTTGTTACTAAGGTAATCAATCCAGCAATGCCTTGTTATTTCTTCCACATAGAGAGTGCATGCCAACTCCATGTAATGGCCTTCTTACTAAATACATCCTCCATGGACACCTTTGATGTCAGATGTCATGTCTCATTTACGATGAATCTGCACACTCACCCTAATGTCATAACTTAATAAATATTGCATTTACAGTGAATAAATCCATTTGCTTATCTAGCTATTAGTGCTACATTAGAGGAAAATAAACAATTGGCTAGGTACAAAGGCTCATGCCTGTAATCCTAACACTTTGGGAGGCAGAGGTGGTTGGATTGCTTGAGCTCAAGAGTTCAAGACCAGCTTGGGAAGCATGGTGAGACCCAATATCATTTTTCCTATTTTAAATATAATTTTTTTCCCTTTCCTAAAATAGAAAAAATTAGCTGGGCATGGTGGCATGCACCTCTAGTCCCAGCTACTTGGGAAGCTGAAGTTAAGAAAATCACTTGAGCCCAGAAATTCAATGCTGCAGTGAGCCATGATTGTACCATTGCACTCTAACCTGGGAGACTTAGAGCAATACCCTGTCTCAAAAACAAACAAACAACAACAACAAAAACAAACAAACACAAAGCAAGACC
This sequence comes from Homo sapiens, assembly GCF_000001405.40. Taxonomy (NCBI): domain Eukaryota; kingdom Metazoa; phylum Chordata; class Mammalia; order Primates; family Hominidae; genus Homo; species Homo sapiens. The sequence goes on from NC_000020.11 coordinate 8,889,918, forward strand.
AGAAAAAGAAACAACTGATATCTCAATTATCTCAATAATAAATGTCATTAAGTCAATGCTACAATGCTATTTAGGTACTTTCTGAGTCAGCAACACTATAATAGTAAGGCTAGACTACACAGGAGCCACACTCTTTGCCTTTGACTTAGGGTACCAACTCCAAAACATGAAAGAGCTAGTAACTGATGAAACCAAATATTATTTTCTGAGACATTGGTGAAGAAAGTGGGGCTTACCTTAGATCCTGGGGTTACCAAGCAGACTCTTTTTGCCCATAAGAGAAAATTCAGGAGCAATTCTTGCCCCTGAACATTCATGTATTGTTAAATTGCTTCTTTGAACACTCTGGATATTGTATCTGTTTGTTTGTTTTATGTTTCTCTCTGATTCTGGATCTTTTATTCTTTTTAATATTGTATTTAATTTTTTTAGAGGCACGGTCTCTAAAAAAGGCATAGTCTCACTCTGTCACCCAGTCTGGAGTGCAGTGGTGCATTCATAGCTCACTGAAGTTTCAAACTCCTGGGCCCAAGCAACCCTCCCACATCAGCCTCCTAAGTAGCGGGGACTGCAGGTGTGCACAATCTAGCTAATTTTTTAAATAACAACTTTATAATTCATGTTCCATAAAGTACACTGTTTTACAAAGTACACACTCCAGTGATTTTTAGTGTAATCACAGTTTCTTATTAATCATCACCCTAATTTCAGAACATTTTCATCACCCCAAAAAGAAACCTCATACCCATAAGAAAACACTTCTCATTCCCTCCCCCAAACATTCTCTCTTCAGCCCGTGAAAACCATTAATTCTTTTTCTGTCTCTGTGGATTTGCCTATTCTGGACATTTCATACAATTGAATTTATACATTATGTGACCTTTTCCATCTGGCTTCTTTCACTTAGCATAAAGTTTTCAAGATTCATCTATCAGTATTTAACTCTTTTTAATAGTTGGAGAATATTTTATCGGAAATATATTTTATTTATTCATTCACACCTGATGGACATTTGGGTTGCTTCCATTTTTTGGTTATTATGAATAATGCTGCTATGAACATTTGCATACAAGTCTTTATGTGGAAATATGTTTTCAGCTTCTCTTGGGTATATACTTAGGAGTAGAATTGCTATGTTATATGGTAACTCTATGCTTAACCCTTTGAGGAACTGCCAAACTGTTTTCCAAAGTGGCTGTACCGCTTTAAATACCCAACAATGTATGAAGCTTCCAATCTCTCACATTCTTGCTCACACTTGTTTTCTGTCTTTTTGATTATTAATATCCTAGTGGGTGTGGAATAATGTCTCACTGTGGTTTTCATTTGCATTTCTCTAGTAACTAATATGTTGTGTATCTTGACCATATGCATATCTTCAGTGGAATGTCTGTTCAAATCCTTTGCCCATTTTTAATTGGTTGAATATTTGTTTTTAAATCTAGGTCTCCTTTCTTGATTTTTGGCCTCTGGTGATTTTGTGGCTGTCCATCACAAAACCTCATCTTAGGAAGGCTCTTTCAATTATTATTTCTCCGAGGCTACTGAACAGCTGTAGGTTGCATAGAAATAGTCCTGGTTGTTTTCTATGTGACTCCAGAAAGCCATTTGTCTGCTTATTGTTTTACTAAATGTCAAATATTTGTTTATTTCCCCAGACTTCTCTTTCTTCTAAAATTAGAGTACATAAAATGTCTGATAAATGTGAGTTGCATTAACTTGCATCCAGTAAATTTCTTACAGAAGAAAATGTATTTATTAAGGGCAAGTGAAAGTTTGAATATTGCAATGGCGATCTTAGCCCCACACACTTTAAAAGTTGAAGCAAATTACATAACACATTATCCAACTGATGCTGTCAAGAAATTCAATGTGTCAATAAGAAACACACCAATAACAAAGGAAAACAAATTACCAATTAAATTATGACTCCTCATCAAACATAAAGGCATTCAATACAATTTCAGGAAGGTTAAAAGCAAAAGTATATCTTAGAATCAGTGAAATATCATAATTTGGTTTCTTTTTTTTACTTCCAAAACTACCTGTTCTATAAGAACCTATGGTTGTACGTTAATTTATTTAAAACCAATAGAAAGCACAATCTCCAGGCAGGATTGTATTCAAAGTAAAAATACCCCAAGACCAGAAAAATAGCTGGAAAGCAGAGATAAGTTTGTACTAAACTTGCTACAAAAAGTGCCCAAGTAAGATTTGATTCATAATCTACCAGAGTCTCTTAACATTGCTTTCATCCCCTCTTTGTCTCTCTCGTGATTGTCACTGATAAAGAAACTGCCACCAAAACCACCCTTAAAACCCAGCTTGTACAGCTCTTGCCTTTTCTCCCCTCACCCTCATCTCTGTATTTACTCTATTTTCTTGAACCATCTTTAATCTTTGCATGAATCCTTTAAGCTTTCCAATGTGAATCACTGTATTCTTTCTGAATGCTCTAGTGTTGCTTCATTCAGCCCCCCAAAGGCTCACAAATAAAGCAGGCAAAAATAGAATTATCTTTACACTGGGAGAGGCTACAGCTACACCTTCGTTAACATATTTTCCAGTAATATACTCAATCAACACATATTTAATAAACACCTACTATATTCTAGGCATTGATTCTGCCATAGGCTCAGTCAGATTTAAAGTGCATGTTTCTTGGTAATAATCATTCTCAGGTAAGTATATCTTTAAGTCCACTCTCTGTGCCTCTACTCAGACTCTGTGTCTCTACCCCAACACAGTTTGACAGAAGGAAGGGTCTATTTCTCTTTTCTCACAGCTAGGCTAATGCTATGCAAGTATGCACTCTTGCACGCTCACACACACACACATACAAACCCCAGATTGTGGCAGAGGGTCTTCAGCATCGAATGGTATTTACCATCTTTTTATCCTCACTTGCAATTTACACGCAGCAAACGGCCACCCCAAGTTTTGGAACCTAGGATATAGCCCAAGAGACAGTTTATGAGTTCAAGTAGTTTATTTGGGAGATGAATTTGTACCGAAATCTCTATTAAAAATGCCAAACTAGGATTGATTCACAACACATTACAAAGTCTCTACTTTCCCCATCTTTTCATCTCCCTGTTTATTACAGTCACAGATTAAAGACCTGCCCCTAACATTTCCCTCAATTCCCAGTTGATTTATTCCATTTTCTTTCTTTCTTCTATTTTCTTTAAGTGAGGTGGGAGTGTGAGGAAAGTTATTTTGATGACTGGGTTATCACTGTGAACAAAAGTGCTCAAGCCCCCCAGTCAAACTCAAAAGGCCTTAGGTGCACCCCTCACAGTTAACTCACCAAGACATGAAGAAGCTGGGACATTTACCCACCATTTCCCATCACTCATTAGTTGAGGCTTTCTGCTCAGGCACTAGCTCCTTAACACTTCCAACTTGTGCAATTTATTAGCCAAGCATGCTCCTGTGGCAAGAAAGCATCCTCAGGCAGAAATAAAAAACTCTTTAGGTGAAGAGAGATTTTTCTCAGGTGATCTCTGAAGAAGGCTAAGGGCTACATCCTAACACCCAACATGTCAAGAAAGGTTGCATTCCATCTGTAAGTAACATACACGGAAGAGTTAGGTAAACTGGTTTCCATAAAGCTACCTATGCACTAGGAATTATAGATCTTTAATTGTTAAACCTCAAGGCACCCCCTTGCCCAACTCTGAGACTTATATGTGACCATAATTATAGCTTGACTCATCCTCAAATGGAAGGACCCAGGGAATAAGCCTATGCCAGCCCTAGAATTGGGCTTGGAAACATTTGAGCCAGGAATTCTAGGGTGCTGGTTATAGTCTAAAAAGGGTATGTTGCCTCCAGTTTGGCATTAGGCCAAACAGATTTCTCCTTGTGGGGTAGACACAACCAGGCAAAGGCCAGAGTTAAGACCTCTAAAGCATGAGGCCCAAGGCAAGCACTTCTCTTGCCTGGATCCAGGACAGTATTGCTTCCAAACATAAGCAGCTGGATAATATCAAAAATATTAAATAATATAATATTGTCCCTATCTGATATGGCTTGGATGTTTGTCCTGTCCAAATCTCATGTTGCACATGTTGAAATGTGATTCTCAATGTTGGAGGTGGGGCCTAGTGGGAGGTCATTGAATCATGGGAGTAGATCCCTCATGAATGGTTTAGCACCATCCCTTTGGTGATAAGTGAGTTCTTGCTCAGTTAGTGCACATGAGACCTGGCTGTTGAAACATCCGAGACCTCATTTCTCTCTCTGTCTCTTGCTCCCACTCTGAACGTGTGACATGCTGGCTTTCCCTTTGGCTTCCACCATTAGTAAGAGCTCCCTGAGCCCCTCACCAGAAACTGAGCAGATGCCAGCACTATGCTTCCTGTACAGCCTGCCAAACTGTGAGCCAATTAAACCTCTTTTCTTTATCAATTGCTCAGCCTCAGGTATTTCTTTATAGCAGTGCAAGAATAAACTAATACACCATATGATCTTTCATTTACTCAAAAGTCAAGCCTTTCTGTGTTTCATGTCTCAGAGAATAAAAGCAGTAAGGTGGAAAGCTGAAAGTCTGTGAATCTCTTCCTGGCATTTCTCATTCAAAAACCTGAATAATTGGAAGAATGGAAAGGATTCCAGTTATGGACAAAATGTTGAAAGAAATCATGAAACAAAATAATGTCTGCCTGATCTGAGAAAAATAAACAAAATAAACAGACATGGGGGGTGGGTATGTTAAAAGTATAGATGTCAGAGGTTCTTGAGAAAGAAATTTAGTCTCTTTATGCAAAACACCAAAGAAAGAACGAGATCTCAGAGGGACCACAGTCAACCTTAGCAAATTGTACTAAGGCAGCTTCAATAAATCCCTATATTCTAGTGTGGCATGGAAACAACAGAAAAATTCCAGAATTCCCAAGGTTGAAACAGACAAAGCAGTGAGAACGATTGAATATAAATGGACTAGGAGGACAGCAACAACGTAGAGTGGTGGATGTCTCAGCAGAGGCCTGCATAGAAAGACGACATTGAGGATCAGTGGGTTCTCCTTCTGGCACATCTTAGCGCTGTGTAAGCCTCTTGGAATTTAGCTACAACTGAAAATAAGTGAGTTTCTCTTAGCAGATGGGCACTAAAAAAATGAACTATTGAGTTACATAAAAACATCTTACCAAAAGCTTCTGAATCATGAAGAGAGTCATTTATACCCAAAATGACTGAGCTTATCCGAAATGTCCTTTAAGACCTGAAGGAATACACATGTATATGACACGAAAGATAAAAGGTTGTTCCACTGGCCAACTATGATGAAGAAAGAGCTCCCTTAGAGATTCCCATGTTGACCACTGATTTTTCTTCTCAGTGCTTGAAACCTTGCTGATAATGTTTTCTTAAATTTCCAGATTTGCCCTTCCTCTTCTTCTAAGATTTGGGCACACCTGAATATTTACCTTAATATGCTTAATGCCATACACTGTCCTTTCTATTCCAATGGCCCGTTACGGTAGTCTGTGGTCCAGTATATTGTATTATCCTACTTATTATGTGCTGGATTCTAATTCTGAGGAAAGAAAGCCATTGTTTATGCTGTTTATCTTATTTACTGCCTGCCTAAGCACTGCATAATGCAAAGGGAGATTAGATAACCACATGTTAGCTATTCCAGCTGTCCATGGCCTCTCAAATCCTCTCTGCTTTTTGAAAGTTCCTTCTTATGTCATTCAGCACATCAACTTTATAATGGCCTCTGAGACAGCTACCATTTTCAGTTAGCTTCCTAGTTCCCAATTTTCCTAACCTATCTTCCAATTTAATGATTCTCTTTTCAGCTGTGTCTAATTTGCTGTTAAATCTGTCTGTTGAGTTGTTTGCTTTTTGTTTCAGCTCTTGCATATTTTTATTTCTAGACATTTTTTGGCATTCTTTTGGAAGTGCTAGATCACTCTTCATAGTTTTCTGTTCCCTGAACATTATTTCTACTTGTCTTTTTTTCCTTTAAGTATAGTAAGATGTTTTATAAATGTCAGCTTCACAGGTTAGTTTCTACTGGTTCCTGCTTAAAGTGCTTTATTGTCTTGTGTGTTTAATTTTTACTGAATAGTACTTATTTTCCTTGAAAAATTATTTATGGCCATTCTCTAGGATCTAGGATGGAAGTGCCTTCTGAGAGAAAGAATTCATGTTTGTTTCTACATGGTGCCTAGGGGAGTAGCTAACCTAGATCTCTTCAGTGTTTGTTTGTCTATTTTTGATTTGGTTTTGTTTTTTAATGTGTCTAAACCACTAATGTATACAATATCTCATTTTAAGAATACAATTTCTGATCTTGCCACTGCACTCCAGCCTGGGCAACAAGGGAGACTCCGTCTCAAAAAAAAAAAAAAAAAAAGAATACAATTTCTTGTGAGGCCAGTTTTGCAGATACAGCCTTTTTGGGAAAACTTTTTCCCTAGCTGAGAATCAAAGAAACTTTCTTTGCAGGCCCTATCATAAAGACAGTGTTAAGATTACTTCTAATTTTTCTTTATCCTAATTTTGAATCCTTTGGGACACCTGCTTAATGGTCAAATGGCCTCTTATTAGACTTTCTGATTTAAATTAACTCAGACTTTCATTTTTATCTGTCCCATGGGGCCATCAAAATTGAAGTTCAAATTTGCCAGGATTGGTAAACAATGCCTTCAGTGCTCTACTTACCTCTCTGGATTCTAGATTTCCCTTAGAGTTTGGCCTGATAATTACATGCTATCTTGTATCTTCATTATTTTTAAAAGGTTTTGTTTTCTACTTTATCTAGTACTTTAGTTGTTGTCTCAGAAAAGTTATTGAGTTCCTACTGGATATATTTGAACATTTTTAACTATTTTTCTGAAAAATACATTCAGTGATACCCAGACCTGGCCCTGCATCTGGTTAACATGAAATGTTTACTCTTAGTCTCCTGGGAAAGTAGCCAATCAAAGTCTAAAAATGAAGTGGCTCATTTGTTGTTTGGGGACACTCCATAGCATCACACTCATAGCAACTAGATAGAAAAATATCAGGTAGGGATGGCAAAGCCTTCTTCTATAATCTAAAGACCTTCAAGTTGTCAAATGTATGTATGATATCCTTGTAAGCTAAATTTAGCACCTAGAGCTCCAGTTTCTGTCTAAGATGTGTAAAAACTCATCTAGCCTGACAGTTCCCTGTTGGCTGCACCTCTGAGAAGTCAATTATTCTCAACAATGCCAATTTTAATTTATCCACCCTAAATTACTCCCAAATTTCTATGTGTATTTTTAATAGAAGGTATAATACCAAATTTAAGTGCTAATGGCTTTCTGGACAGTGATATAAAACCTGACCCTTGGTCATCAAATTGCCTGAGGAAACAGATGTTTTGATTACATTATATTTTTCACTAAGAAATAAGTATAAGATCAATTATTCTTTATTTTATCTCCAGGGCTTATAGTAGGGCCAGGCACAATTAATGACAATTAATAAAGGTTGAATAAATTAATTAACCTGTGGTAGATTGGTTGCAAAAAAAAAAAATGGCACTAATTCTTCACAGACTTCCTGTATTTTTATAATGTGACTTTGCAGATCTTGCCATGAAGAGGCCATGTCTCTTCTCTATCCCTGAATCTGGGCTGGTCTTAAGATAGGCCTTGGCTAAGAGAGTGAGTTACTCTATTATTACAGGTCCCAGATTAGGCGTCTTTTTTTTTTTTTTTTTTTTTGGAATCCTGTTACCACCATGAGAACAGGCCTTTGCTAGCCTGTTGGAGGAAGAGAAACCTCATAAAGCAGAGTTAACCTCATTTTCCCAGCTGAAGGACCAAACATAAGATAGAGCCCAACCAGGATCAGTTCAGCCACCTAGCCAAGCAGCAGCTGACCACCCAGCTGAGTGAGCCCAGCTAAGGTAGCAGAGCTGGTTCAAAGCAGCGGAACTTTCTAGCCAATCTGCAAACTTGTAAGCATTAATGAATGATTTTTTTGTTTTAGCCACTAAATTTTGGAGTGCTTCATTTACAGCAGTAACTAACTTGCACAAAATCATTGTTACAAACCCTTCTAGGGGTATTTTAAAAGAAAGGACACCAGGTTGGGAATCAGAAGTCTTCAATTCCATTTCACTCTCTGCCATGAGTTTGTTGGTCTTGCACAAAACAGGCCTTCTCTGTGCCTTAGATTTGAGATTCCTTTGAGTTCTAATCTTATTTTTCATGTGGAATCTTCCAAAATGTTTTACTCTGCATTCCTGCCATCCCTCATGATACAGTGAGAAAAGTTGATTTTTTTTGTATACTTGAGAATGTATTGAGTCTCCAAGGGATTTGCTTGCATATCAAGTATTGGAAATTCTAGAAAATTGAGCTGATGTATCCTTACTCTAAGCCTTCTCTAAAAGCATATTTTTAGAATAAATCCTTACTGGGAGCTTTCTGTGATTTGTGTTTTCTTTTGTTTTTGTTATGTTATTCTCAAAGCAGAAGTCAAACAAACAAACTCTATTAAAATAAATATCCTTGTTAATCAAGGCTTTAGTGAACTTTGTTCCTTTTCATCATCCCAAAAAGGAACACAAAACAGTGATTTAATAATGGAACAAAAATATCACTCAGAAAAAGAAAGAATCCTGGCTAACACCTTGAAACCCCGTCTCTACTAAAAATAAAAATATTAGCCGGGCGTTGTGGCGGGTGCCTGTAGTCCCAGCTACTCAGGAGGCTGAGGCAGGAGAATGGCGTGAACCTGGGAAGCGGAGCTTGCAGTGAGCCGAGATAGCGCCACTGCACTCCAGCCTGGGAGAAAGAGCGAGACTCCGTCTCAAAAAAAAAAGAAAGAAAGAAAGAAAGAAAGCACTCCAATATTCATCTGATTTTTACTAATTGTTTATATTATTGGAATAGAGATAATTGTACTTCATAGCCTTCAATTCTGAAAAGTATAATGGATTCATATGTAATGGACTCAAGCACACAAATTTGTGTTTATGCAAGGGGAGCCCATGTGACAATGATTCTTAGTAGTGGAGATTAGGGATCTCTTAGAGATTCTGATGTAAACTAAGAACCTTGATTCAGAAAATCACACAAATGTAAACATTCACATAGTAGACTTTTTCATGATTTTTGCCTCCTCAGCACTTTATAAACACTGTTCTTTTTTTTTTTTTTTTTTTGAGATAGAGTCTCACTCTGCCATCCAGGCTGGAGTACAGTGGCACAATCCCACCTCCCAGGTTCCAGTGATTCTCCTGCCTCAGCCTCCTGAGTAGCTGGGATTACAGGCATGCACCACCATGCCCAGCTAATTTTTGTATTTTCAGTAGAGATGGGGTTTTACCATGTTAGCCAGGCTGGTCTTGAACTCCCGACCTCAGGTGATCTGCCCGCCTCGGCCTCCCAAAGTGCTGGGATTACAGGCGTGAGCCACCACACCTAGCCCAAACACTTTTCTTATGTTTGAGAATTTTTTCCCCTTCTTAATCTGCATACCTCCGGAGTAGAATCTAAAAATTCACTTCCCGTGGTTGCATCTATGACACAGACACATGGTCCATAATCAACTATTCAGGTAGATATACACAGGACATCTATTTGAAAGCAAATGATATTCAAACACATGCACTCACAGATCCACTCTGGCTAGGTTGGAGGTGAAGACATTGAGATTTCAGACACAGTAGTGCGTGGGCAGAGGTACTAGTACATTATAGTGCATGGCATCTAAGTGAGGTGCAGTGACTGTTCAGGAGTCGGGGCATCAGAGTATTCCCTGAAGCATTGTGCAGTGTAACTTTAGAGATGTTCCTAGCTGTCCAACTTTCAGCCTAATTCTTAGACCCTTTCAGAGATTCTGGGAGTCATCTGATGCCCTTCAATAAATGCTTAAATTATGTCTGCAACAGAGAACTCTGACCAATATATGCATATCAAATAAAAAAACAGATTTTGCCCTTAATTTCAAGATTTTTACAAGATCTTCTGAAGATCATGCATGGCTTAGCTCTCAGAATACATAGATGCTCATTTGTTATATTGTCAGTGGAGAGGTGATAGGGAATGATGCTGCATAAGGCTTCTTGGTACAGAAGAATTAACACTGAATAGAGTAAGCAGTCTTGGCCCTAGTCTTGGCTTTGCTACTATTTACCTAGTCATTGCACAGTAAGTGGTGTCTATGTCCCCTGTCCTGAATCTGGGCAGGATTGTGACCATTAGAATAAGGTAGCAGTGGTGCTGTGTGACTTCCAAGGCTAAGTCAAACAAGGCAACAGATACAACTTCTGCCTTGTAGCTTGGGACACCCTGAGCCACCATACAAGAAGCCTGATTACCCAGAGGCCTCTATGCTGTGAGCAAGCCCAGACCATACAGAACAGCCATGTGAGTTGCCCCAGTTGAGAGGCTCAGCTGAGGTGCCAGTTGAAAGCCAGTAACAGCTGCCACATACAACTCTATAACTTCTCATACAGATTGATACATGAGCCCAGGACATCAGGTATTACCCAGGACTGTCTTGGGAAAATTGATGTACGGCCACCCTTTTGAGCATCTACTCTGTGCTAAGCACTTGTGCCTTCCTTTACCTCTGTGAACTCCTTAAAATGGGGTGAGGGTTGTTGAGCTAGTATATATCACAAATCTCAGTGCCACAAGGATAAGGCAAGTAACAAAAACACATGAGACAGCTGAATTTGAGTAACAGAACATGTCAAGGACGTCAGTAAACTGAAAGGCACACACGAAGTCTAGAGGGAACAGATATTCAGCTCCCATATGTATTATCAGAAAGCAATGCAGGCACAATTATCTCCTAATACTCTGATTTTTTTTTTCAAAAGAAGTTAAAAATATACATTTTTCCATTTAAATTTAAAACGTTCTAGACAATTTTTAAGGTAGTCTTTATGGGTTGGAGGATTTCAGTGGACTCTCCAGGCTAATAGTCCAAAATAAATCAATTAATGTAAATACCCCACAACCACTCTTAGGTATCTGCTAATCCTGGCTCTCCAGCAGGCTCACTTTGGGGATAGCTGTTATTTTTGTTAGAGGGGAAACCACTTCTATAAAAAGCCACTCTTTTGTCTCAGAATTCTAGATTGAAGGTAATTAAAGCTCCCCCCCGCCTTTTTTTTTATCTTGTGTGAAGAAGTTTTAAACTATCATGTTTAGTTATATAAATGTCCACCCAGGTGCAGGAAAAAAAATACCAATCATGAACTCTGTGTATTAGTCAGCTATTATTGTAAAAATGTTATGTAGCAAATACCCAAATAACTTACAACAAGCATTAATATCACAGTCATAGATTTTGGGGCTGGCTAATCTAGGCTGGGCTCAGTTGGATGGCTCTGCCTTACACTGTGAGGCAGCTAACTATGGCTTACATTCAGGTCTTCTCCCTCTGTGTTTCTTCTGAGATTCAGGGAGAAATAGCAGCATCTATCCAGCAGCAACTCTCCTCACAGCAGATCACCAGAATGCAAGAGCTAAGCCTAATTGAACAAGTTCAGCTAAGGTCTCTGTTTGCCTCACATCTGCTAATATATCACTGACCAAAGTTAAGTCACAAAGCCAAGCACACCCTCAAAGGGCCCAGAAGGACACTCCACCAACAATAGAAAGGGGAAAGAAGTGAATGCTTACTGAAACTAACCCAAACTCTCATATCCTACGTGTCTTTTTGAAAAGCTGGGTTCTTTTCTAAATCATCCCCGAACAACCTCTCTCTCAGGCCTCACTGGCTCCCCATGGAGCTGCTGGACTCTGGGACGTCACCCCAAGTGGATTTTGGCCTGCTGTGAGCGAAACACGTGGTGGGTGGAAGCAAATGCCGAAGACTTGGAACTCTCAGGACAAGTGCTCTAAATTAGGAACAAAGCATTCCATGAACTACGTCAAAACTTTAAAAATAAGCCTTTCTCCATGCACAGCTAATGACCTTGCTGAACACATTTAAAAATGTCTCATTTAAGATGTTTAAGTAATTACTCAGGAGGAGTGACCATAAGGTTTTTCCATCCCATCTGTGCCCTGCCTCTAAGCCCTCTCTTTCCCTTCATTGCCACGGGTCCTGGTTCCCTTGCAGGCTGTTCTCATGTAAGACAGCAACCTAATGTAAGAAATCTACAAATCAATCGTGCCTTTGGGTGGCTTCTTTGCTAAGAATATTGTTTTATTTACTCTGTTCTTTTCATGCCTTCTAAGGAGAAAGAAGACAACTACTGTCACAGAGAGTATTTCTTTAAGGCTGAGCCATAGGGGACCAGAGGATAGAGAATACCTACAATGGTCTCTGATCACAAACTCCTTTAAAATATTATTTTTTAAAAGAACCATGAAACAAGGTGAACATGCTGCAAATTCAAGCCTGAGTAAATAAAAAACCCCACATAACACCTGATGTTTTGTAGGAGATGCAAAAACCAGGGTGCATAGAAAACCTAGAAGTATATATTAGTCGGAAGTAGACTGAGATAGTAGGATAGACTGACCCAGGCTCTCAAGTTTCTTATTTACTGTGTAACTCAAGATAATTGGGCTACCTCATGGTCAATCTTGGTACGTGGTTACATTCCGAAGAAACACAAGTGTCTCATCAAACAAACCAACCAAGAAATATGAAAATCTTCCATGAAGACTCAAAGAGATGTCAAAGATAGAGGCAAATTGTATTGCATAACACATCACACTCCTCTTCCCTAGCTTCTTGAAGTCCTACATCTCACAGCAACGATTTAATCAGATTTATTAATTTCAATTATTCCCATTTGTTTCTCCACAAATTTTTTTTTCTTTTTTTTTTTTTAAAAAAAAGACCTGGGGCCAAGCATAACGGCTAATGCCTGTAAACCCAACAATTTGGGAGGCCAAGGCAGAAGGATTGCTTGAGGCCAGGAATTTGAGACTAGCCTGGGCAACACAGCAAGACCTTATCTCTACCAAAAATAAAATACTTAGCTGGGCATGTTGGTGCATGACTCCTAGGTACTTAGGAGGCTGAGGGAGGATGATCACTTGAGACCAGGAAGTAGAGGCCACAGTGAGCTATGATTGCACCACTGCACTTTAGCCTGAGCAACAGAGGAAGACCCCTGTCTCAAAAAAAAAAAAAAAAAAAAAAAAAAAAAGGAAAAAAACAGCAACCTGGGACCTAAACAGATACACAAAGGATGCACTGGAAGGTAGAGAGTCAGTGAATATGTATCAGTAGAATGTATGCCTTGGTCACACTTGCTAGGGTCAATTTCCATACCTCAGACAAGCATTTGCTCTCATGTTGGGTCCAGAGCTCCCCTGGTTGGACATTGTATTCAAAGCCACGCTCCAGTTTAAAAAATAGAATTGAGGCCTAAAGGCTTTGGTTCTAACCCCAGTCCCATCACTTAACTAGCTGTTTGCACTTGGACAAGTTACTTTGTTTTTATGAACCTATTTCTTCAACTATAAAACAGGAATTTTAAAAAATCCTACCTCAAGGTATCATCATCAGGATTAAATGATATCATGGAAATGAAACCTGGACACAAGTGGGGACTCAACAAGGCTGTGTGAATTCTGCACAACAGTGAGGTTTAGAAAGTGCTTTGATCACCTAGATACGCCATTTTTCAAATTTCTCTTTTATTTATATTCATCCCCTAAAATTATATTAAGGCTTCCTTACTGCTGTGGACTGAATGCTCCACAGCCTGCCACAAATTCACACATTGCAATCTAAATCCCCAATGTGATGGTATTTGGAGGTCAGGACTTTGGAAGGCAATTAGGTCATAAGAGTGGAGCCTTCATGATAGGATTTGTGCCACTATAAGAAGAGGCACAATAGAGATGATCTCTCTCAGCCAAGGTGACAATACAGCAGGAAGGTGCCATCTGCAAACCAGGAAGAGCATCCTCACCAGACACCAAATCTGCTGGCACCTGGATCCTGGAACCCATCCCAGTCTCCAGAACTATGAGAAATAAACGTTAGTCATTTAAGCCACTCAGTCTATGGTATTTTATTACAAAAGCCTGAGCCGAGTAAGACAGACTCATATAGTGCCAGTCCACTGAAGTGTCTTTTGAATTTCTATAGGTAGGACATCCAGCCTTGATTTCTTTTCCACATGTGATGAGGACAAGTTAGTTAAAAAGATGACAGAGGATGACTTGGGCTACCCTAGATGATCCTTTCTCAGGAAAGAATGACAAATCCCAAGGAACCAGGTACCTGCTTTCTGAGACACTTCCTCCACTCCTCAGTCCCATTCATATGTTTGCCCTGTTGGTGGCTTTTATAAAGTTTATTGAGCTTTAGTTTGTCTCTGCCTGCCTTTATTGACTATTTAAACATGCCTGAAACATCTGGTCCCCTGAGAGCTTTTACCAAGGTCTCTGGAGTACAGATTAGGTTGTCATTTGTCCAATTTGTTGTCAAATTCAAAAGAAGTTCTTCTAAACTGAGGGGATTCAGGACAGCTGCATGGACTCATCTGTGAGCACCCACTGAGAGGGTAAAGGAGGTTGAAATTAAGCCCTGAGTCATGACACTGGGTTGAAGCATGGTGAGAGGGATGTCTTCTTTGTAAGTTGACTGCCTGGGGGAAATGCTTTTTTTTTAATCTGGTGATTCTCAAAGGTCCTGCAGGGCTGGCTGCAGTCCTAAGGACTTTTAGTACACCTTCTGATTGTTCATCTGAGAAAATTGAGACTGGAACTTATCAGAACTCCTTAGAGGGAAGATATTACTATATGGACAAGATCTATAATTGCTCTCAAGGCTTTTCATGGAAGCTATTATCTATCCAAGAGAGAAAAAAACTCAGCTAATGTCCACAGTCCAAGCTAACATATTGAGTAAAGGGCCTCAGAAAAAGTAAAAGAAATATACGCCATTTTAAAACTACAAAAGTTAGTCTTCACAGGAGATTCAAGTTGTCAAGAATTGGTGGTTTCATTTCATTCGCTTAAGTTATTTAACAAAACAGGATATTTATCAAAACAAAATAGTGTCTTCACACTATTAGACATTCTCCTCTATTAAGACAATAGCCATCTGCTGGAGTCATATGTTTACTAGGACAAGAATTTTTGGTGGGGTGTGGTGGTTGACGCCTGTAATCTCAGCACTTTAAGAGACTGAGGCAGGCGGGCGACTTGAGGCCAGGAGTTTGAGACCAGCCTGGCCAACATGGCAAAACCTCATCCTTACTAAAAATACAAAAATTAGCTGGGCATGGTGGCGTGTGCATATAGTCTTAGCTATTTGGGAGATTGAGGCACAAGAATTACTTGAACTTGGGAGTGGGAGGTTGCAAGGAGCTGAGATTGAGCCACTGCACTCCAGCCTGGGCAACAGAGTGAGACTCTATCTCAAAAAAAAAAAAAAAAAAAAGAATTATTTCTCATTCTACACCTGCATTATTGACCATTTCAATACATGTTTGTAAACTGAAATGTCTTCTCAGGCTTGATAATGTGTCAAACTCTTCTTCAATATAGAAAGAAAAGTTCAGCAAAGAGATCTATTATCAAAGTTGCCATGTTCCTTAGATATTTATGTTTGCTTCTTGCACTAGAGTCTGAATCCCCATCTCCCACCACTGAGTGTGGATATTACCCTGATTCTTTTCCAGTGCCTGATTTAGATGGATACTAAATAAATGCTTCCTGTTTTAATGAATGAATAAACTAAAGTTATGTCATTACATTGTCTTTCTTTTCAAACCTTGATGTGAAATTTGTTCTATGTTGGCCTGGCAGGAAAGTCTCCTTAATGCTGGAATTCTCACATAATATAAGTTATAGTATATTCCATATACTGTATAATAGTATATGTTACAAATGATTATACTATACAATAACATACTATTATTATAATATAATAATAAGAAGGAATGTATTCTTGCTGGTGAAAAATGTTTTTTATATACACATATTTGAATGTGTGTTTTATGTTTGTTATACTCTTTATATAATACACTTTATAAAACACACACACACAAACATATATATATGAAGATTTTCTGTTACTTTATCATGATCCCTAACAAATAAATAGCCTTGTCTAGCCATTGTTCGGAATTGGGAAGTAGACAAAATTTCTCATTGCTTTCAATTGATGAGACAGATGTCCCAAGTATTGTCTTTCCTGTTCAAGTAGACATAACCTGGTAAATGTATGCATTTTAACACAATAAGGATGCTTCTCTAGACCATTTTTCCTTGAAGCGTGGTCCATGGACATCATCTGGGGACTTGATAGAAGTGTAGAATATTGCCCCTATCCTAGACCTACTGAATTAGAATCCACATTTTAATAAGATTCTGGGTTAGAAGAACATAGTTAAACCAAAATTTGGAGACCTCAATGACTGCTCAGCTATACCGTGGGAGGTAGTCAATGCCTACGACAAGGAAGTCCCTACTATCCCTCCCAGTTCCTGCATCTTCCTCCTTGAATTTGCAATAGATGGGAGGGCAGTCATTCCTAAACCCATCCTTTTCTCTCAGAACTGGTGACTGGGGCAAAATATGTGCTTTAAGTGGAATTAATAATAAAATATTAACCCTTCATGAATTTGTGAAAATATTTCATCCTATGTTTGTTTTCTGGGCTTGTCAGCCTGGGCTCTCCTTCTTAGAATGAAGTCACTATTTATCTTGCTCTTATGCTCAACCTTGAACAGACTGCTTATGAACATTTAGTTTTTAGTGTTTTCTAAAGATGATGACGATAATGATAATGACAGTGATGGTAATGATATGCTGAGAGTGCTTCAAATGCCTCCTCCTAATCATTCTCAACAATCTGCTTAGAATTCTAAGTAACCAGTGATTTTCAAACCAAGACCTGCAGAGGCCTAGGTGCTGGGTCACTGCAAGGGGAGAGGAAGGCAGGAGGTAGGATGGCTGAATGGCATGGCTGACCCACAGGGACTGAGGTTAAGTTCCAGAGGATGGGGGACACAAACCCGAGCATCTTTACTTTCATCTGCTTTTACATATTGAAGCCTGGCAAAGCCATTTTTTTAACATAAATTTCTTAGGACCTAATATTCTCCTACTAAAGCAACCTAGATTACTACTGTGATCCATAATTAGTATATCTTGAAATACTTAGTATTCATATTTTCCTGGGAAGGAAAGAGAAACATTTAAGAGAATAAAAAATTATATTTTGGCTTGAAGCATATTCTTCAATCCATGCAGGTTGATAGACTTTGTTTGCATATTTCAAATTCAGACTTAGGTTTTAGTAATACCATGAGATGTTATGATGAGGGAAATCCAGTACTGACAACATTTTAAAAGTTTTAAAGGCCCTGAATTCTTTGAAAGAACCTGGAACACACAACTAAGAAATGTCATGGGAGAGTCTCCTTGTACGGGTACATTCTGGGAAGGGTGATGAAAAGAAAAAAATCTCCTTGGAATGTGTTAAATTCAGTTTAGTCTGGCATCAAAGGAATGGGCTAGATACTCATTAGTGACCTGATCTATTACAATAATTCTACACTTCCAAGTTTACTTTTGAATTCCTGAGGTAGAAATCCATTTTAGTTGAGAACTACAAAACTGGCAAATTAATTGTATTGACAACAAACCCAAATTTCCAATCTTTCCATTGTCCATTCCTTTTGCCATCACTTGGATTCATAATCTTTTCAATCCTTAGAAACACATTGAAATAAGAAGGAACAGGAATTATATTCATTTCAAAATTGTTCCTAGGTTATGTGTGTGGCAGACTATATTTTCCAAAGACAACCAGCAGATCTTGCTCCTACAGTGTGATGGTGACACCACTTCCATCCGATAGGGGACTTATGTCCTTTTCCCTTGAACCTGGGCAGACCTTTTGTGACTGCCTTGATCAACAGGGTATGGAGGAAGTGACACTATGAGATTTTCAAGACCAAGTCAAAAAATACTGGCACTCAATTCTGCCTTGGTCTCCTTGATCACTAGCTCTTGCGAATGCACCTGCCATGCTCCGAGGAAGTCCAAGCCATGTGGGTAGACCACATGTAGGTATCCCAGCTTACAACCTCAGTGGAGCTTCCAGCCAACAACCAGCATCTACCACCAGACATGTTCCTCAGGGAGCCTTTACATGACTCCAGCATCAACCACAATTTGACTGCAGCCTATAGAGGAAGAAAAATATCATTTCCTTCTACCCATCTTAGGTTATTGGCTGAAGGCCTTGTAACAAAAGACAGATGAACAAGAGAAAAACGTGCATTTTTATGCAATATAAGTTTTACATGTCATGGGAGCCTTCATTAGGAAATGAAGACTAGAGAAAGCAGCTAAACATGGGTGTTTGTATGGTAGGTTTTGTGAAGAATGGAAAGTAATGGAGAAATATGACAGGATAAAAAGAAGAGTCTGAGCTAACTGGAGAAAACGGCAAGATGTGTTTGTTCAGATTCTTGTTGGCATCCCTTATCTTGGAGGTAAAGATGTTCCTTTACTCTGGGTATAGGGAGGACACCTCTCACATGAGGGTCTTATGACCTGCTTCAAGGGAGAAGGGTAGGGGAAGGTCAGAGAGGCCTTCCTGCACATGCTGTTTCTCAAATTATTTCAGCTTAAAATGTTTAATATGCCAAGGTGCCATATTTTGGAATAGCATGTCACAAACTCCATCAAGATCCATGACATACCCCACCAAGCTGAACCCCAGTCAACTCTCAAAACCATGAGAGATAAGAAGAAAATGCTTAGAGTTGGTTTAAGCTATTGATTTTGGAGTGATTTATTACACAGCAAAAGAGAAGTTAACACTCTGTTAACTAGGGCAGAAGACCCTGTGATCCTGAATGGTCAACTAAATTTTCTTCCCTGAATGATTATCTCATCATTAGAAGTAGATGGTATTAATTTTAGGCCTTAATAGCCTTCATTTCCTAAGGGAGCTGCTGGACTTAGTTTATAAACCAAACACATCATTCTACCCTCAAAACCAGCACCTCTTTCCAACTTTCCTACTGCTGTTAATGACACCAATTTTCCAGGCACTTCAGGATCATCTCTGACTAGAAATGTCTCCATTTTCAGCATATTAACCACTCCGTTATCAAGGTCTTTTGATACTTTATATTTGCAATGTCTTCTAAATTCAGATACGAAAATTTCTCTAGCAACTTTCAGCCTGTTGACCTCCTGCCTCCACATCCCCAGTCCTACCACCATAATAGCCTTTTTACACATTACATTGATCATGTCATTCTATTGCCCCCCAAATCCCCTCTCCTGCAAACAGTTCCACTACTTAAACTAGTGTTGCAGACTAATGTACTGATAAGGGCTAATCAAGTAATGGGAATGAGTAAATTAGGGCATGTGTAAGACAATAGTGAGTGAGGGAATTGCAGTAAACTAGATTATGCATTTCTCATCTAAGAGAAGTAGAATCGCCCAGGTCACAATTGTTCTCAAACAGAAATGCAGGCCCAGTATTTTCACATCATGTGATTTTTTTTCAAGGGAAGATGGCATATTTCTATGAGATATCACCCATCAGATGTTGGCATCTGAGTCAGTCCGTTTTTACTGGGTAATACACCATTCCAAAACATAGCTTAAGGCAGCAAACTTTTACATAGTGGATGATTCTACAGATTAGCAGTTTGGGCTGGACTCAACTGGGTAGCTTTTCTGATCTTAGCAGGGTTTCCTTTTAGATCTGTGGTTTTTTGCTATGTTGGATTGGGGAAGGGATCAGTTCTTTTAGGAAAGGGTCAGCCATGAGGGCTTGTCTTTGCTCCATAAGTCTCTCATGCTCCAGCAGACTAGCCTGGCTTTATTCATACAGCAGAGTCAAGGTTCCAAAAATAATTGGAAACAGCCAAGGCCTTTTGAAGCCTAAGCTTGAAACTAGCACAGCATCATTTCCTCTGCATTCTATTGTGCAAAGCAAATCACAAGACTAGTTCTGATTCACCTAGTGGAGAAATTGACTACATGTATTGAGGGGAGGAGATAAAAAGTTACATTGTAGAGTGAATGGATATTGGAAGTAGAAAAGGATTAGGATCTTTCCCACAGTCTGCCAAAATATTTTTTTAAACTTTAAGAGATTCCTGCTAAAAAGAATATGAATCAAAATTATATGTCTCCACTTGGCTACCTGTGCTTCCCTCTTATGCCCTCACTCATAGAGCCACACTTTTCTCTTACCCTTTCTCTTTCTCCTTGCCATTATTAATGCATTGGCTCCAAGCACAGTTCCATGCAGGTCATTTGTCCTTCATACCTGCCCTGTTCATTTTCATATTTGAATGTGAATCCTTTGCTCACTCATTAGGAATGGCTTTTATTACCTCTTCTGTAGTTCATTTTCTCATTTCCTCAAAAGCTTCCTCAAATCTCTGCATTTCCATGAAGCATTCTTTAAATGCATCATATTTAATCTCACCCATTCATTACATTAGCTCGTGGGGTTTTTTTTGCACGTTATTTATACTTTGATTGACACTACTTTATATTGTTCTTTAATATTTTTGCTTGTGAATGCTTTGTTTTCTCACCAAAATTATAAGTTTTTAGAATAACAAAACCATGCAATTTTTTCATGTAGTAATCACAAATTGGGATATGTATTATCAATTAGCTATTGCTGAGTAACAAATAGTCCCACACTAAATGATTTAATTATACCCATATAGTTAGTTCACAGTTCTGTGAGCTAGCAATTTAGGGTAGACTTAGCTGAATGATTCTCCTTGTTCTAGCCAGGTCCCCTCATATGGGTTGGTTTTGCTAATCTTGCTGTATTCTCCCACATGTCTGAGTCCTCAGCTGGGTGAAATGGACAAATTTGTCTGTGATCCACATATTCTCTCTTCCTCTAGCTTAGGCTTGCTCACCATGTCACAGCTAGGAAGAGTGGCAAGAAAATGAGTGAAAACTGCCAAGGCTTATTGAGCCTAGGCTGAGAACTGGCAAATTGTTACTTCTTTGAATTCTGTTGATTAAAGGAAGTCACAGGGCCAGCCCAGATTTAAGGAAGGAGAATATAGACTCTTGTCTTAAGAGGAGAAGCTAATATCACATTGCAAAGAGATTTTGATACAGAGAGGAGAGTAGTTGCAGCCATTTTTACAAATAATCTACCAAATAATGCTGGCCTGGCTCCTATGGATTCTTGGAGGAACCACATCTGTTTATCCTTCTCATTGTGTGGAATTTCTCTTTCCTCAATTTGAGCTATGTCATTAGTGTAAAAATTGTATCTTCTTCCATAATCAATGCTCCTCTGGACAAAATAATTGGATAAAGGCTGGCCTCCTGTCCCAAATATGTTGATCACAATAAGTTATCTACCATTTTTCCTCCTGATTCCTGTAACAGTGACCTCTAAGACTGGTCTAGAGATGTGCATACAATCTAAGCTTTTCCAGTGAGAATACTTCTCCAGGGCTTTTATTATTACAACTGGTGATAAAAAGCTACGTTTTTCTCCTTTGTTCTTGGACTAAGAGCCCAGCCCTGCCATCACCCATGTGCCCAGCTGCATAAAGAAGCCTGCCTTCAGTAGAAAAGCTAAAACTCAGAGAAAGCAGAGCTGATGATGTCCAGGTCCCTGCTGTAGCTTCTTTTCTACAGATTACTTATGCAGAAGATAAATTTTTCTGGTTTCGCTTGTGCTGGTTCAAATTGAGTTTCTCTCACTTGAAAGCAGAGAATCCTGACAAATACATTAGGAGTATCCTTCATAATCCAGCACAGTGCTAGGTCCACCATGGGTTATTTAATAAATACATGTTAAATACAAATAGAAAATAATATGACGTGATACTATACAACCCAAAAGAATGACTAAATTTTTAAAAGACAGACAATACCAATGTCAGTAAAGATGTAGAGCAATTGGGACTTTTATACAGTGCTGGTGAAAATAAAAATTAACACAACCATTTTGAAAACCTCTTTGGTAGTATCTAGTAAAGCTGGCTATATCTGTGCTGCACTCTAGGACCCAGTGATTCTAACTCTAAGCATACATACAGCAATACTGTAAAGATATGTTCAATAAGACATATATAAGAAAACACTACTCATAGTAGCCCAAACTAGAAACAACCCAAAAGTCCATCAATAGTAGAATAAATAAATTGTAGCATATTCTTACAATAAAATACTATACAGCAATCAAAATGAATGCACCACAGTTAATGTAACAAACATAGATGAATCTCAAAAACATAATGATATGATTTGGCTGTGTCCCCACCCAAGTCTCATCTTGAATTGTTGTTCCCATAATCTCCATGTGTCATGGGAGGGACCCAGGAGAGGTCATTGAATCATGGGGGTGATTACCTCCTTGCTTGTTCTTGTGATAGTGAGAGTGAGTTCTCACGGTATCCAATGATTTCATAAGGGGCTTCCCCACTACTTTGCTCTGCACTTCTCCTTGCTGCTGCCATGTGGAGAAGGATTTGTTTGCTTCCCCTTCTGCCATGATTGTAAGTTTCCTGAGATCTCCCCAGCCCTGTAAAACGGTGAGTCAGTTAAACCTCTTTTTTAAACAAATTACCCAGTCTTGGGTGCGTCCTTTATAGCAGCATGAGAATGGACTAATACACATGATATTGAGCAAAAGAAGTCAAATACAAAAGAGTACATCCTGTATGATTTTATTTATAGAGTACAAAACAGGAGAAACTAATTTTCACTGCTAGAAATTAGAATAGGCATTATCCTTGTGGGGGAGTTGTTACTGGAAACAGAACAAGGGCCTTCTATACTGGCTCCATGGGTGCATAAACTTATGATTTGTGCACTATTCTATATGTATGTTAAACATCAATCTAAAGTTTACTTAAATAAATTGAAGAAGAAATGGTTCTGTGGATCTTTGGACAGTTGTATGCTGGCCAACTTCTTCCTCTCCCTCCAAGTGCTGTGCCTGACGCCTCCTTTCTCTGTAGTAGAGGGGAGAGGAGGTGAGAACTGTAAGAAGCACAGCTATCCCCATAAAAGAGCAAAGCCATCAAGAGAAAACACTTCTGTGACAAGGGAAAAACATGTTCCTCGACTTTCCCCATCTGTCACACCATATGCCACACCATCTATCAACACTCAATTTGCTGTATGTAGTTGAGGACATTCCTTCCACGTAGGAGAATAACTTACCCCAATTAGATCTTAAGATTAATTTTTTTTTGAATCTTGATGCTTTGTGAGTCATTATCATTTCAGGCAGCCTTAACTGAACAGAATTGGATCTTGAACTTAACAAAACTCAGAACTCCACACCTAAAATCTTAAATTCCAAAAATCCCATGACAGTCCATAATCCTTTGACTTTCATTTCTTTCTTCCAATTTCTCTACATTTGGACTTCATTTTAATTTTAACTCCATAGGCCATTCTACTTCCAGGCATTATATGAGCACCTTCTAAGGGTGATAGTTTCCCTAACCCATCCTCTTTCAATAGCTAATTGAAATCTATTAATTTCAATTAGTTTAATCATTAACTTTTATTCCTTTGTTCCTTTAATCTTCAATCACATTTGCCCAGATAAACTTTATTCCTACCATTCCTCATTGTTTTAAGTTCTATATTTGGTCTTTTGAGAACCAATGGTGAAAAATCACAGTGATACTCCTACAAATTCATGCTCTCCAACCAATGCCTAGCTTTCTTCCTTGCCTGGTAACTCTCTTTCAAGTCCATAGTTGATTTTCTCTCTAATTCCCCTCAAGGACAGTTCCAAATGTCACCCTTTCTCTCATTTCAGCAGCTTTAGTACCTCCTCTCACTTCTTATTTCCATAAGAAAGCCCATCTGGAGAGCTCTGCCTCCTCCAGGGCTAGTTCATAAATGTGCAAAACCTGTGTAACCACACAAGGTTTCTAAGGGTCTTCTCAGCCCCACACTTAGAAGAGCCCTGTGCTTGCTTTAATGCTCTGCAGTAACTATCTTGAAATTCTTAATCATTGTGAAGAAGGGGTCCTCAATTTTCATTTTGCACTGAATCCCACAAATCATGTAGCTGGCCCTGCCTCCTGCCAATAGAAACATGTCATTTATACTCCTCTTGGCATTCCTGCCTCAGGATTAAGAAGGCTCTCCTCCAACCAAAGAGAATTCTTTTTTTTTCCTTTTAAGTTTTTTTAAATTGAGATACAATTCACACACCATCACATTTATCCATTTAAAGTGTACAATGCAGTGATTTTTAGTATATTCACAAAGTTGTGCAACCATCCCCACTACCAAATTCTCAAAAACAAAAAACAAAAACCCTATACCATTAGCAGTCATTCATAATTCTCCCCTCCCAACAGCCCCTGAAAACCACTAATCTACTTTCTGTCTCTATAGATTTGCCTATTGTAGCATTTTATACAAATAGAATCGTGCATTATGTGGCCTTTTGTATCTGGCTTCCATGGAAACCACCTTTGCAGAATTAAGTCAATGAGAGAAATCTGATATACCTGACTCCATCTTGCTTCTAACCTTACAAGCTGTCTTTGCTCATTCCTGAGCATAGGCCAAACTAACTATGGGAGGAATTTAGTTCATGTTTTAACCATAAAGCAAGGATAATAATAGCTCCTTCCCAAAACTACTCCCTCCTTGTTTGGGAACTGAAACCACCTTTATAAAACTAATGAGAAGCCACAAAATTAGAATTACGGGAGAGGTCTGAATTTTGCTAAGACCTGCTTATAGTTAAAAGATAACTAGTCATTGTGTTTGCTCAGGGGTCTCATATGGGTGGTCACAAGATTTGTAACTTCCCTAATTGCTCCTACAGATAACATTGCTGTTGCAAAACCTGAAACTGGTGTTTGAGATATTTTTCATTATTTTTCATTCTGGCAATTGATTAACTACCCATACCAAGGATCTGATTCAACTTGGCCCTGTGACCCCCATGTAGGAAATGGCTCAGCCTAAGAAGACAGCTTCCATCCACTATGATTTCATCCCCAACCCAACCAGTCAGCATTGTCCATTCTCTAACCCCCTGCCCACCAAACTATCCTTGAAAAACTTTAGCCTCTGAACTTTTGGATAGGCTGATTTGAGTAATAAACTCCCATTCTTCCATCTGGCTAGCTCTGTGTTTATTAAACTCTTTCTCTACTGCAATACCACTGTCTCAGCGAATAGCTCCATCTGTGCATCAGGCAAGAAGAGCCTATCAGGAAATTACACTTTCACCTCGCATAATGTTTTCAAGGCCAAGGTGAATTCTTGTGTTCCTTCTTTGGACCCCAGCCTCTCCTACTGTAGAGACAAACTCAGAGTTGTTCTCACTCTCCATCGTTCCTTTTACAGATCCTGAGTAGAAGGTGAGTCAATGTAATTAAATCCTTTCCAATCTTTACAACAAAACCAATTCCTTCAATCTCACAATTGCTTCCATGAGTCCGTGCTCTCTCATTTTCTCCCTAGCCAAGCTTCTTAGCTCCCTCTGCTTTCTCGTCTCTCATTTACTCACTGCCTTTTCATGTCCGGCTTCTGTTCCCACCAGGCCAAAGAAAATGCACCTGTTAAGTGACAAATGGATTAGCTACCAAACCAATGATGTTTTCTGCCCTTGGCTTCCTTGACCTTGCTGCAAGGTTTGACATGATTGACCGCTCCTTTGTTGATACCTCCTTTTCCATTACCTCTTTTTCTCCCCCTAAATCTCTCTGGCTATCCTTCTCACTATAATTTTTTTCCAGAATCTTCATGTTTCCCTTGATCTCCAAATTCCAGCACATCTCAGAATTCTCTATTTGGTTCTTATTCTCATTCTATATATTTTCATTGGGACCTTCATCCAAACTGAACTATCACATATACGTTAAAAATTCCCAAGTCAATGTTTCTAGACATGCTTTTTATCCTGAGTTTCAAACCTATATGCAAAGGTCTATTAAATATCTCTTTACCTGGATATCCACCAATTCTTCAGCCCCCTTAAATATGCTTGTCGTTAAACCCACAATCCTTTTCCAAACATATTCAAGTGAATTAGATCCTTGTCTATCATCCAAACTATTCTGTGCAGAAGCTGGGACTCACCATGGACTTCCTCTTACCCATACACAATTAATCTCCAAGTTCATTCCCCATTCTCCATTAACATCTCCCAAGCATTGTGTTAGTCTGCATTCTCTTCCTCCCCACCCCCATACCACATCACCATTGGTAAAGACCTCAGCCTCACCCTGCCCCAAACAATCCGTCCCACAGTGCTTGCAGAATAAGCTTTCTGAGGCTGGGCACAGTGGCTTATGCCTGTGATCCCAGCACTTTGGGAGGCCAAGACAGGTAGATCACCTGAGGTCAGAAATTCAAGACCAGCCTAGCCAACATGGTGAAAATCAATCTCTACTAAAAACACAAAAAGTTAGCCAGTCATGGTGGCATGTGACTATGGTCCCAGCTACTCTGGAGGCTGAGGCATGATAATCATTTGAACCCGGGAGGCAGAGGTTGCAGTGAGCTGAGGTCGCACCACTGTACTCCAGCCTGGGCAACAGAGTGAGACTCCACCTCAAAAAATAAAAAATAAAAAATAAAAAAAGAATAAGCTTTCTGAAACACATGTCTTGTTATTCCTTTCCTCTGCTAAACTCTTAGCTTGGTAACTAAGGCCTAAACTAAACTACCCCTATGACTTTCTTTTCCACTGCTCTAATCAGAGCATGTCATATGATTTCACAGCTCTGTCTTTAAATACATATTTTTTTCTCTACCAGAATTATCCCCATCCACTACCCCATTTCTCAGACTAAATAATGTTCTGTAACTTTGTAAAATATTTTCCCAAGAGTTTGCTCTTCCCAGAAGCCTAATTGGCACAATTTAGATTCTCCTTTTTGCACTCAACATGCACATCTCTCTAATTGCATGCTAGCAGCATCTATTAATTTACTTGCCTCTTTCTCCTACCTGAGTGCAAGCTCTTGATCAATCATATACCATTTTAGTCTTCATATGCCAGTGCCTAGTAATGTGAATGGCACATAGTAGGTGCTCAGTTAATGCATAATAAATGAAATGATAAATCACTTCTAGAGGTCCTATGCGATTCTGTCTTTTTTTTTAGCTGATTCTCAAATAAATTTTATACAGAAAGCAGCACAATATACTCAATGGATTGGAGACTTGATGGAAAGCAATAGAATCCTGAAAACTGGTTTGTGGTCGTCAACCCTTTAAGAATCTGATTATATCTGGATTCTGTCCCTAAAAAAAATGCTCACACATACCCAGGGGTTTGTGTACAATTTTGGTAAATTCCTGAAACTTATTCATAGGCTCTGCTTGAAATTTTAAACCTGAGTTCTGCTTTCTCCTGTGCACTTCTGAGCAGACCTAGCTCCCAAGAGGAAGTCCCTACTCACTACCAGGATTGAAATAAGCAGACTAGCTTGAGGGCATGAGGACTTGATTAAATGTATTAACATATCAAAGGAAAGATGTGCACAGCAGAAGGGAAATAGCTTAGCCCTGGAAACACATAAAAATATAGAGTTGTTGTCTGTTTGTTTTTTGGTTTTGTTTTTTTTTTTGAGACAGGATCTCACTCTGTCTCCCAGGCTGGAGTGCAGTGGAACAGTCTCCACTCACTGCAGCCTCAAACTCCCATGCTCAAGTCATCTGCCCACCTTTGCCTCCCGAGTAGCTGGGACTATAGGTGCACACCACCACACCAGCTAAGTTTTCTATTTAATTTTTGTTTGCTTTTCTGTAGAGACCAGGTTTCTCCATGTTGCCCAGGCTGGTCTCAAACTCCCCCTAGCCTCAAGCAATTCTCCCACCTTGGCCTCCCAAAGTGCTGGATTTACAGGCATGTGCCTATAATGCCTGGCCAAAACCAGTTTGATAATGACAAAATTTAGCAGTGTCCACCTTGGCACCATTGGATCAAAGTGAACATTGCAGTTGTAGCCCACAGAAAGCATATCCGATCCCAGAGACAGGAACTTCCCTGGTGGGAGACAGAGGCATCAGGCTCTTCCAAACCTGAGCCACTAATTCTAATTCTCCTTTATCATTCAGTTACGTGACAAATTTTTATTGAGCACCTACTATGTCAGCTACTGTGCTGGTGAAATCATCCTATCCCCACAGAGTTGACAAGAATTGCATGCTGGGTTCTAGACAGAAATATAGTTAAAATTAAGCATTAATCAGGCAGCATTTTGGCCCACTTCCTTGTTGCTAAAAGTCATATAGCGCTAGATGCTAGCCATTTGCATCCCCATTTTCCCCATGGATAGGATTTCCAAAGTTTTAGGACATTGGAAGTCTTATTATTGGAAGAATTGATTTGCAACCCATCATTCCCATAGACAGGATCTCTGACATAGGAATCATAAGGCTCTTGTTTAAGGATTCCTTAAAAGGTTTTTTAGACCCTGAATTCCAGCAACCAGTTTGAAGACTCCCACAGAGGAACTGGATCAGCATGAGAATACAGCGTCTTTACCTCCCTGTCCCATGACTTCACCCTGCACTCTTCAACCAGTCAATGATCTCCACACATTGGCCCACTCCCAAACCCTTAGAAACCGTAACCCCCGATTCCTCTGGGAGGTGGATTTATTATTCCCTCCTATCCCTCATTTGGTGACCCTGTAATTAAACCTTTCTCTGCTGCAACCCAGTGTCTCTGCATATTGACTTTCTATGTTCATGGGGCAATGAATCTATTACAGTTACAATAGGGATGGAGAAACAAGGGTGAAGATGATAGATTTGAACTCAGCTCTCCTGGAGTTTGCCTTGTGTTTTGTTTCCTTGCTTACTCAGCAACCCTCTGATTCCAATACTGCAGCAGCCTTTACCAGAGATTTTGACTATTAGATATTACAATCCAATTATTTTCTTCTCTTTAGTGAGAGATATTTCTAGCTGCTCTGAGTAGAGACTCCAAAAAAATACACCACAAAACAGATCTTCTACCAGTAAAAAATAAAAATAAAAAAGCCACATAAGTGATGTCCTTACTTATATATATAAATGGAGGTCTGTTGGTGCCATTGTTCTAGAAAATGGGGAATTAAAAAGCAACAAAAACAAATTTGTGTTTTGAAAAGCTTGGGGGGGACAAGGCACGGTGGCTCACGCCTATAATCCCAGCACTTTGGGAGGCTGGGTCGGGCAAATCACGAGGTCAGGAGTTTGAGACCAGCCTGACCAACATGGTAAAACCCCGCTTCTACTAAAAATACAAAAATTAGCAAGGCGTGGTGGCATGTGGCTGTAATCCCAGCTACTCGAGAGGTTGAGGTAGGAGAATAGCTTAAACCTGGGAGGCGGAGGTTGCAGTGAGCTGAGATCATGCCATTGCACTCCAGCCTGGGCGACAGAGTGAGGCTCCATCTCAAAAAAAAAAAAAAAAAGGAAAAAAGAAAAGAAAAAAGAAAAGCTCAGGGGGGAAAAGGCTCCTGAATACCTTGTGTAGGAGATAAAGGTGGGGTAATTTTTGAGATCCTAAGGAGGAAGTAGTCCTTCTCCAGTGTGAAGGTAGCTGTAATCCTTGGGGCTGCTGCAGATCTAACAGCTCACAGCCTTTGATCTGAGAAACACCAGGCATCACCTTGAAGCTGAGCAACAGGAATTTAGGTTTTACTACCACACTTCTGTTAAAAAAAATTGTCAATGGTTCTGCTAGCAAAGACAGGACCAGCATTCACTGGAGAAACATACACCCCACTCACCAACATTTTCTCTAAGTCACTCTCCTCTTAACACAGCATTGATCGACCTTAGCCTATTTGGCAGTAAGCACCACAGCTGGGCCCGTCATCCAACCCCAGGTTGAACCCAGGGAGCTTTGGTCAGCTGGGATGAGACCTCCCTATACTGAGTTTTGCCCTGCTGACAAGGAGACCACTATCAGAGTTGCTACTGCTGGGGCAACATATTGACACTTGGGGTTAATACAGGAGCAAGAAGCCCCTCGCCCTGCACCGGCTTCCCTCCCTTTAATGATTCAACAAGGACAGCTTCGACTCAGCAAGCAGGCTCCCTCCAGCATGGTCTGGGTGCTGAGATGGGATAAAGAAGGAAGGTACTATTTCCCTGAGGTATGGCTGTAAGCACACTGGGACCCCCGAGCAGACACTCACAGGAGGGGGAGAGACCTGGCCATTATCCTAGCTACTATGACTGGCATTTGAAAGTTTGAAGTAGTGATCGGGAAACTTTTTCTAAAAATAGCAGATATTTCAGTTTTGCGGGCCATATGGTCTGCCGCAGCTACTCAACCTGCCTTTGTAGCAGGAAAGCAGCCACAGACAATGTATCTAGGAATCAGCATGGCTGGATTTGGCTGCTGGTTGTCTTTTGCCAATCCCTGCTTCAGAACTGCACTCTGGGAAATGGCTTGTGGCACCACAAGATGTGTTTGACTACCCTGGGACTCACTCCATCCTAACAATTCCTCAGCCTCCACCTTTGCTCTGCACAGGGAGAAAGCAGAAATAAGCAAATCCTGAT
The DNA here is from genome assembly GCF_000001405.40 of Homo sapiens. NCBI lineage: Eukaryota > Metazoa > Chordata > Mammalia > Primates > Hominidae > Homo > Homo sapiens. Next base: position 8,920,364 of record NC_000020.11, read on the forward strand.
TTAGCATGTTTAGATCTTCGTGCCTCTTAAATGAACAAACTTGGCTAAAGGAAGCCCATCCCTGAGGGATTGGACCTGTCCTCACTGGTTTTTGAGCTTCAGAGCCCAGGGTCATTTTAAATTCTCCAAACTAATGAATGCCTCACATTCCCTCTGGGGGAATGGCCAGATTTTGTTTGTTTGCTGGTTGCATTGTACTGCCAGTACTATTTGTTTGCCTTCTTGTGAAGGCAGTGATTCTGATATAGTATGTGGAGAGAGAATGAGATATTGGGACTCAGGCAACATGGTGCCAAATCTCAACCCAGTCTCTAATTTGGGGAACCATTTGTCCTCCCATGTTCAGCTCTGTCACTGTCTATCAGGGATTCCAGCCCAGGGCCCTGGGATCTCACAGAGCATCACAAGGCTCTGGAAAGAGCATGGTGGAAGTGCTCTGCAAACAGGATAATTCCGATTCTTACACTGAATTATTCAAGATGTGCTATCCCTTTGGTTTTCTCATCTTTAAAACAGTGATGGGGCTGGGCATGGTGGCTCATGCCTGTAATCCCAGCACTTTGGGAGGCTGAGGCAGGCTGATCATTTGAAGTCAGGAGTTCAAGACCAGCCTGACCAACATGGTGAAACCCCATCTGTACTTAAAAATACAAAAATTAGCCAGGCATGGTGGCGGGCGCCTATAATCCCAGCTAATTGGAAGGCTGAGGCAGGAGAATCACCTGAACCCAGGAGGCAGAGGTTGCAGTGAGCCAAGATGGTGCCACTGCACTCCAGCCTGGGCAACAGAGTGAGACTCTGTCTCAAAAACACAAAACAAAACAACCAACCAACCAAACAAACAAATATATATGTATTTGTTTTATATATATATGTGTGTGTGTATGTATATATACATACACATACCCACATATACAATAGTGACGGAAGGTGCTATGTCCTCATAGAGTTGTGGTGAGGATTAAATGAGAAAATCCATGTGATGTTATCTGCATGCTCTCTGGCACATTCCAAGTATTCTATCCATGCTTTTGTCCTTTCTGTTGTTTTAGAACAGTTCTCTGCCTCACCTTATTTTAGCATAGTCATGAAAAGCTTCTGGGGTGCAGTCCATGCTATGCCCAGTCTGAAACCAAGAGTAGTTTATGGTCAGTAGCCATCATCATAAGTAACCAGGTCCTAAGCCTACTCTCAATAATAACTACAGCCCATCAGAGATTTCCCTAAATCAGCTGGCCTAGAAAAGCAGGACAATGCCTTCTGCACCATCATCTACATCATTTAGTTTAAATGGCAGAATCTGAAAGTTAATTGCTTTATTTATTCATCTGTCCTTCAAAAAAGCCTTTCATTATTTATTATTGACTACTTTTTGTAAGGTGTCAAGAATATCCTCTAAAATGGACCTGTTTTGTTTTGTGTTTTAGAGGGTCTAGGGATGAAGAATTTTTTTTTTAAGAAAAAGAAATGCATTTCTAGCTTATCTTAGTTCTCACCTCAATACTTGAGTATCTCCTTCATTCATTCATTCCTTCATTTATTCAACAAGTTTTAACTGAGCTCCTACTATGTGTAGAAGCAATCATAGCAGTGAGTAGAACTTATGTTTCAATGTAGCTAAGAGATAATAAACAAATAAAAATATAAGTGTATAGTAATCAGCTATCAAAGAGTGCTACGGAGGAAAAGTAAGTAGAAGGATGGGAATGCTGGAGATGGGGGAAGACTTGCTGTTTTATAGAAGATGACTGAGGAAGGCTGCACAGATATTCAAGCCAAGATCCCCGGAAATAAGAGAGCAGGCTATGCAGATGTATGCAGGAAATGCAAAGAAGAGGCTACAGCAAGGTTTGTAAACTCATGGGATATCAAGGAAGCTTGGGTGCCTGAAGCAGAGCAAGCTTGCAGTGAAATAAGTGATTTAAGGTCATAGAGGTGAGGGCACAAAGGGGCCATCATGTGGCACCTTGTAGTTTTTTCTGAGTAGATTGAGAAAGCCTATGATGGTTTGAGCAGAGGAGTGACAATGTCTGTGTGCTGGCTGGCTGCTGTGGGAAAACAAACTGTAAGGAGACCAGGGGGGACATAGGAGTCTCAGCAAATCCAGGGAGAAGAGATGGAGCTTCAGTACAAGGTAGTGATCAGTGGAGGTCCTGAGAAGTGGTAGATTCTAAATATACTTCAATAAACTGTTGCCAGAATTGGCTGGATGGATTTGGATGAAGGCAATCCAATTTGGTGGATTGGGTGTCACATGTAACAAAGAAAGAAGAGTCAGATGATTCTGAGGTTATGCAATTATAAGGTGAGCAGGAACACATGACTCCAGAGCAGTGCTTCTCTACCGTGAATGAGCTCACAAACTACCTGGGGATCTTGTTAACATGAAGTTTCTGAGTCAGCAGGCCTGGGAAGGGCCTGAGAGTCTGCATTTTGAACCAGCTTCTAGATGCTACTAATAATGCTGGCCCATGGACCAAACTTTGAGAACCACTGTTAGAGAAAAGTAATGCATCTTAGTCATTAATAAACTGGTCTTTGGAGCCAGAATACCTAGGTTCATGTTCTGGCTCCACCATTTCCTACCAATGTCACTACAGATAAGCTAGGTATTTACCTGTGCCTCAGTTTCTTTATCTGTATCATGGGGATCATTGTGAGAATTTCATGAGTCAGAAATATAAAGTACTTAGGGGATGCGAGAATAGTTCAACATATGCGAATCAAAAAACATGATTCACCACATAAACAGAACTAAGAACAAAAACCATTTGATTATCTCAGAGAAAGCATTTGATAAAATTCAACATCATTTTGTGATACCTTTGACAAACTAGGTACAAACAGAACATACTTCAAAATAATAAGAGCCAAATATGACAAACCCACAACCAACATCATACTGAATGGACAAAAGTTGAAATCATTTATCCTAGTAACTAGAACAAGACAAGGATGCCCACTCTCACCACTCCTATTCAACATAGTACTGGAAGTCCTAGCCAGAGCCGTCAGACAAGAGAAATAAATAAAAGGCATCCAAATTGGAAAAGAGTAAGTCAAATTGTATCTGCCCACTGATAACATAATTCTATACATAGAAAACCCTAAAGACTCCTCCAAAAGACTCCTGGACTTGAAAAGCAACTTCATTAAAGTCTCAGAATACAAAATCAACATACAAAAATCAGTAGCATTTCTATATACCCATAACGTTCAAGTTGAGAAACAAATTAAAAACTCAATCCTATTTATGATAGCCACAAAAATAATCTAGGAATACATTTAACCAAGGAGGTGAAAGATCTCTACAAGAAAAACTCCAAAACACTGATGAAAAAAATTGCAGACAATGCAAACAAGTGGAAAAACATCCCATGCTTATGGATTGGAAGAATCAATATTGTTAAAATGACCATATTACCCAAAGTAATCCACAGTTTCAATACAATTCCTATCAAATTACCAACATCATTTTTTACATAATTAGAAAGAACAATCTTAAATTTCATATGGAACCAAAAAAAAGCCCAAATAGCCAAATCACTCCTAAGCAAAAAACAAACAAATCCAGAGGCATCACATTACCTGACCTCAAATTATACTACAAGCCTCTAGTAACTGAAACAGCATGGTACCAGTACAAAAATAGACATAGTGATCAATGGAACAGAGTAGAGAACCCAGAAATGAAGCCACATACCTACAACCAACTGACATTATATAAAGTTGACAAAAATAAACAGTGGGAAAAGGACACCCTATTCAATAAATGGTGCTGGGAAAACTGGCTGGCCATATGCAGAAGAATAATCTGGACCCCCATCTCTCACTATATATAAAAATTAACTCAAGATGGATTAAAGACCTAAACATTAGACCTGAAACTATAAAAATACTTGAAGAAAACCTAAGAAAAATTCTTCTGGACATTGGTCTAAGTGAAGAATTTATGACGAAGACCCCAAAAGCAAATGCAGCAAAAACAAAAAATAGGCAAATGGGACTTGGAGTAAAAAGCTTCAGCACAGAAGAAAAAAATTCGGCAGAATAAACAGACAGTCTAACAGAATGGGAGAAAATATTTGTAAATTATGCCTTTGACAAAGGACTAATATCCAGAATCTACAAGAAACTCAAACAACTCAACAACAACAACAACAACAACGACAACAACAACAAAAATCCATGACTCAATAGTCATGGATTATTTGTTGTTATTGTATTAGTCTGTTTTCATGCCACTGATAAAGACATATCCTAGACTGAGCAATTTACAAAAGAAAGAAGTTTAGTGGACTTATAGCTCCACATGGCTGGGGATGCCTCAGAATCATGACTGAAGGCAAAGAGAGGCAAGTCACGTCTTACATGGATGGCAGCAGGCAAAGAGAGAGAGTTTGTACAGAAGAACTCCTCTTTTTAAAAGCATCAGATCTCATGAGATGTATTCATTATCACGAGAACAGCACAGGAAAGATGTGCCCCCATGATTCAGTTACCTCCCACCAAGTCCCTCTTACAACACATGGGAATTCAAGATGAGATATGGGTGGGGACACAGCCAAACCCTATCAGTTATAATATCAATTTAGTAATTCACATTCATCAGGAAAAAAAGAATAGGTTTTTAAATATTAAGGCTATGCATTGTTCCATGACTTTTTTTTTGTATGTGTGTCTTAGATCATGTTGTGAAATGTATTTCTTCTATGCATTTCTTCTGAGGGTCTTGGTCAAAAAATGTTTAAAATCACTTGCTATAAACACCAAAGCAATGTAACTTTCAAAGATTAACCTGGTGTACAGCACCACCACATAACAAATTCAGACCAGCATCCTACAGCAATGGGCAGGCATTCTTGGGGCTGTGCAAGGTTTGTGTTCAGCAGTGACCCCATGTGATAGCAAAGCAAATGCATTAGACTGGTCAGCGCTACCAGTCCCCTCTCTGCCTGATGATGGGAAATAAGTCTGACCCCATTGAACTGAGCTAGTGACCCATATGCACTGAAATTCTGGACAATTTGGGGAGGAGAGAAGCCTCAGGAGGCATCTTGCTCAGCGGGGCTGTAACAAACATGATATAGTAATATTTATACTCCCAGCTAGTTCAAAAGGTTATGTAGTTGCAAAAGGTTTTCTTAAAGATTTTTGTAGGGAGAAACCAGGATCTTCAAAATTGTGTTGTAAAATATGTTGTTTCTCAGTGAAAGTCCTTCCAGAGTGGAGGGAGCCAGATGGCAGCAAGGTGTACGCCTAAGAAGCTGAGAAAGGTTGCAGGTAGAAATAGACTGAATAATCAGTGACTATACTTCAGGGGTGGTTGCTGTAATATGATACATGTGTGATATCTGATGTTATAAATTACCTTATATTCTCTGCTAATAATTCTATAGTAGGACAAATAGTTAATACAGTTGTGTGCCTCATCATGACTTTTAGGTCAAGAATGGACCACTGAAGTGATGGTGGTCCCATAAGATTATAATACCACATTTTACTGTACCTCTTCTATGTTTATATATATGTAGATACTCAAATACTTTGCATTGTGTTCCAACTGCCTACAGTATTCAGTACAGTAACATGCTACACATGTTTGTAGCCTAGGAGCAGCAGGCTATACTGTATAGCCTAGGTGTGTAATAGGCTACACTATCTAGGCTTCTGTAAGTGCACTCTAGGATATTTGCACAATGACAAAATCACCTAATAGCACTTTTCTCAGAATTTTATCCCCATCATTAAGCAACACATGACTATATGTTAATATTTGGTTTTATATTACTAAATCCAAACAAGGAAACTTGTTTTAGGAGGGCAGAATTTTCCTTTTTATCAGTATGCTGCAACTATTAACACTGGTACTAGTTGTGACAGCCTAGGTTTTTGTCCCAAATTGCTATTTAAAAACCCAATATTAAATGGAATAAGTAGAGAAACCACTGCCTCAATTAGCCTAATAGAAAGTGTAGGTGAAGAGGGAGTGTAGAAGGCTTTGTTGGTATAGATTCAGATCCCAGGCATATGTAAGGATGGCTTCAGCCTTATCTCAAGTAGTTTCCCTAAATAGTCCCATATATTTTGCAAGACCAGATACCACTTGAAAAAATCTCTCTTCCAGATAATAATCATGGTAATTTTAAAACATGTCCTCAAATTCTGGGGGCTCTGCCTGTCAAAAGATGGGTTCTATGCGCCCTTAATTTGAGTCTGGACCAACCCTGGTGACTTGCTTGTAGTCAACAGAAAGCAGCAGAAGTGACACCAGGTAACTTCCAAGGCTAGGTCAGAAAAGGCTATGTGGCTTCTGCTAGTTCTCTTGTGATGCTCGTTCTGGGGAAGCCAGTTATGATGTAAGAAATCCAACTACCCTGAGGCCACTATGTTGGAAATGCCATATGAAGGTGCCTCCATCAAGGGCCTAGGTGAGCTCCCGGCTGACAACCAGTATCCTATGTCAGCCACAAGAGCCACCTTGGACACCTCGCCAAAGTACAGTGGTGTGGTCATGGCTCACTGCAGCCTCCACCTCTTGGGCTCAAGCAATCCTCCCACCTCAGCCTTCTGAGTAACTGGAACCACAGGCATGTGCCACCAAGTCCCACTGATTTTTAAAATTTTTTGTAGAGATAGATTCTCCCTATGTTGCCTAGGGTGGTTTCAAACTCCTGGGCTTAAGTGATCCTCCTGACTCAGCTTCCCAAAGTGCTGGAATTAGAAGTATGAACAACCATGCCTGGCCAATCATCTTTCATTACAAAAATCACAGAAATAAAATCTTCCTAAGATTCCCTAACTGGCTTCAGGAGGTAATGTTTTCTGGTTAAAGCTAAAAACAAGCATCACAAATAAATTTTGCAAGACTGCACATCACTTGAAAAGTCTCTCCTCCAGATAATAATCGTGGTAATTTTAAAACGTGGCCTCAAACTTGAAGGGACTCCTCCTGTCAAATGATGGGTCCTATGTCCTCTCCTCTTGAATCTGGGCCAATCTCTGTAGTTAGAAATTAGGGCTTTTTCTAACTACAGAGAGCTCAGAGAGCAAAAATATATGTAAAAGTAAACTGTAGCTAATTCTTAAAAATAGGAACTATGCTAGCTTAGCAAATTCACTGATTAGAGTCAGATTTACATTTCTGCTTTCAGCTGTGGTCATTTGTGTATTTGGACAACAGATACCCTTTGATCCAGATTGAAGGCCCACGATGTCAATGTGTCACTCCTCACATCTCACATTGGGGAACACACATGCAAGACTAAAATTGGAGTCAACACTAACAAGGAGGCATGAGGCAGTCTGCAAAATTAAACCAACTGTCAAACAGCACAATTAGAAGGGTAAGGGTCACTTAAGGGAGCAAAGGATGATGTTTCTGGATGAGAGAGATGAGCTAATTGTCCCCATTGGGCAAGGGTATGGTTCTGAGGTTACTGGCATTAAGATAAAAAGAAAACATGTCAGTTTTAGGATCTGATACCAGATTTGCTTCTTCAGGCAAACTCCTCCCAGGAACTGAACCCCTGTATTGTCTGGGTATTTGTAGAATAGACAGTGCTTCCAACCACAACTTTGGGCAAGACATAGAAATTTACAGTTCATTTAAAATGACTGAGAAAATAAGGAGGTGGGTACAGTAGGGTGTGCCTGGAGGCTAAGGCTGGAGGATCACTTGAACCCAGGAGTTAGAGACTACCCTGGGCAACATAACAAGACCCCATCTGTTAAAAATAAAAAATTAAGAATGACTGAGAATATGGTCCATAATCCAGATATGCAGAGAAGGGCATCTTGCTGGTGCTGCTGCGATACTGCTCTCATGTGCAGGGTGCCCACAGGCTGACTTTCTGGTGGAAGCCTGTGAAGATGTTTCCAAGGGCATAGTTCCCTGGCAAGAAGAAGTTCTCTACTCTACAGGGACCTCATCAGACTCTTCTCCATCTCTTTATCTTCTACCCTCAAGGTGTAATCCACAGCTCATGTTGTCCCCTCTGACTCTCTACTGGCTGGGGTACTGAAAAGACGGCTCAGGATCAGGACCCTATTGTCCATTTGACTCATCTGGAAACTCAAGAACTTCCCCTATTCAGAAAGTGGAGGTGGAGCTGCTCCCTTCCCTCTATCATCTCTCACCAATCACTTTAATCTGATCAAAAAATCCAGAGATAGGGCAACAAATGCACAGAGCAGTGAGGCAAAGAAAGCAAGTCCCTCTTTCTTCCAAGTAACCAGACTTATGGTGCCCTTTTCCCTTGACTGGAGGAAGGGAGCACCTTCCCTTCCCATATCCTATAGGACGGAGTAAGTTTCCACCTGAAACTCAACCCCAAAGTCTCCAACAAAATCTGCTAATTCTTTTTTTTTTTTTTTTTTTTTTTTTTGAGATGGAGTTTCACTCTTATCCACCAGGCTGGAGTGCAGCAGTGCGATCTCGGCTCACTGCAACCTCTGTCTCCTAAGTTCAAGCAATTCTCCTGCCTCAGCCTCCTGAGTAGCTGGGATTACAGACGTGTGCCATCATGCCCAGCTAATTTTTGTATTTTTAGTAGTGACAAGGTTTCACCACGTTGGCCAGGCTGGTCTTGAACTCCTGACCTCAAGTGATCCACCCACCTCGGCCTCCCAAAGTGCTGAGATTACAGGCGTGAGCCACCATGCCAGGCCCTGCTAATTCTTTTTATATAGGCTGGCAGTAGGGGAGTAATGGGGAGACAGTTGGAGATGCAAATCATCTGAGAAATATCTGGCAGCTCTTTAGTTTCCACATGGCATTTATCTCCACCTCTCCATCGTTCAAAGACAACTAAAAAAGTTATATGTAACATTCTCTTGCACCTGCCCCAGTTACTCTTGGTATTGATCTAGTTATCTACTTCACCTTCCAGACTGTGATCTCCTTGAAGGCAGGCATGTATCTTCCCATCTAGCATATCTGAAGAACTGGATAAATATTTCAGTGAACAGAACCAGTTTTAAGATTGGGACTTCACTTACCTTGAAATCGTTACTGCCAGCTTTCATTTCAGCAGAGATTTTTATGATGCAGATTCTAAGAAAAATTAATTACCTAGGTATTTCTGAACTTGCCGAACTGGAAGAAATGTGTTCTTAGGATAATCAAAGCCTGGCTGTGTGGCTCAGTTAGAATCAGAGAGGGTACCCTCATCTAGCCTCTTCCAAAATACCGAGCCAGGTGGCTGGATGAAAAGAGGGTTTGACTCCCTGAGACTGCAGGCAGGAGATGAGTTCCTAATAAATAGGTCTCCTTTCGTTATTGTGAAATAAGATCAGTAACAGCCTCAGAGTGAGCAGAGATAAGCCTTTGTGCCTGTGGGGACTTGAGTTTAAGGGGTCCTACAGCAACACTACCTATCATCCACATAGCTTGGAATGGCCAGATACAGATCAGGAAAGCAAAATTCAACTGTGGTCCTTGAGGTGGCAGGCTCAAAAAGGGGTCAGGTATTTATTTGCTTTCTCTTTTTTTGTGTGTGTGGTTTTATAACTTTATTTGACAAGCAGCAATTAGCTCTCATCCACATTGACTGTTTATAGATTTTTGATAGTAACAGGTACATAGGGAACCCAAATATAGAGCTTATTTGATGAAGATTTATCCTCATTACATTTTCTGGACAATTGCACGTGGATGGGACATGCCTTATTCCTTTGGTCCAAACAGCTTTGTTGAGCCAGGTATCAGGGTGGTGGCTGCTGTAAGTTGGGGTTGCTGTGGCACTTACTTAAAATAAAACAACGGTGAAGTTTGCCACATCAGTTGACACTTGTTCTCACAAAAAATTTCTCTTTAGCATGCAATGCTCTTTGATAGTATTTTACCCACAATGTAACTTCTTTTGAAATTGGAGTGAATTCCCTCGGCCCTGCCTTTATCAACTAAGTTTATTTAATATTCTAATTTTTTGTCTTCATTTTAACAATGTTCACAGCCTTTTCACCAGGAGTAAATTTCATCTCAATAAACTACTTTCTTTCTCTGCTCATCCAGAAAAAGACAATTGCTCATCCACTCAAGTTTTATCATGAAACAGCAGCAATTCAGTCACATCTTTAATCTCCACTTCTAATTCTAGGTTTTCGTTGTTGCTGTTTGCTATTTTCACCATATCTGCAGTGACTTCCTCCAGTGAAATCCTGAACACATCAAAGTCATCCATAAGAGTTGGAATCATCTTCCAAATTCCTGTTAATGCTGATATTATGGCCATGTTCATTAATGATCTTAACTAGATCTTCTGGATGACTTGTTGCAGCTTCTCCATCAGCACTTGCTGCTCCACCTTGGCCTTTTATGTTATGGAGATGGCTTCTTTCCTTAAACCTCAGGAACCAACCTCTCCTAACTTCTAACTTTTTTTCTGCAGCTTACTCACATCTCTTAGCTTTCCTAGAATTGAAGAGAGTCACAGCCTCACTCTGAATTAGGCTCTGGCCTGAGGGAACGTTTTGGCTAGTTGGATCTTCTATCCAGCCCACTCAAACTTTCTCCATATTGCCAGAGGCTGTTTTGCTTTCTTATTCATGTGTTCACTGGAGAAGCACTTTAATTTCCCTGAAGAACTTTTCCTTTGAAAACTTGGCTAATTGTTTGGCACAAGAGGCTTAACTCTTGGCCTGTCTTGGCTTTCAACATGCCTTCTTCATTAAGTTTAATCATTTCTAGATTTTGATTTCAAGTAAGAGATGTGCAACTCTTCTTTTCACTTGAACGCTTAGGGGGTATTGTATGGTTGTTAATCGGCCTAATTTTAATAATGTTTCGTGTCAGGGAATAGGGAGGCTCAAGGAGAGGTAGAGAGATGGGGAACAGCTAGTTTTTGGAGCAGTCCAACCACACCCAACATTTATCAATTAAGTTTGCCATTTTATGTGGGTGCAGTTTGTGGTACCTCCAAAAGAATTACAATAGTAACCTCAAAGATCACTGATCAGAGATCACCATAATATGTATAGTAATGAAAAAATTGTAAGCATTGTGAGAATAACCAGAATGTTACCCAGAGACACAAAGTGAGCACATGTTGTTGGAAAAATGTTGCTGATAGACTTAGTTGACACAGGGTTGCCATAAACCATCAATATGTAAAGAATGCCATATCTGCAAGGCACAATAAAATGATGTACGCCCATGTTATTTAAAAGAACATATCAAACCCAGAGTTTCTCTCTGTCTCTCCCATACCAGGAGACTGTGGAGCTCACCTAACTCCCTTTGTCTTCAAAGCTAGCACAGTGGAGAACGGTTAGGTGATGCGCAAGGTCAATAAAACATCCACGTTGTGCCCAGTATACCTGGAGTCCTTGCCCTTGTGCAGTACAAGGAGGAGCTTGGTAGGTGTCCCAGATCTCTGTGCTGATGGATTTTTACCTACAACCCCAAATAGAGAAATGCTTAAACCTTACTTGGAAACAAGAGAGCGATTTTCCTTTTTTCAGAAAAAAGGGAGAGTGACATACACATTGGTAATCTACTAATTGTAGACATATGCACAGTTAGGGAAAATCTCCAGTTAGAAAACAGGCCTATATCCCCTGAGGGGGTTCCATCCACCCTTCTCTTTTCCAGAGAGTAGCTAGGGATTCATCTAATGAAACAGAAGGGAAAGAAGCTAAAACAAGGTTATGAAATAGCTTCCAGAGGAATCATTAAGTGGATTCCAAGTTTTAATATGCCCCAATACACATTAGATTGAACTAAACTGTATTAATTACTGTCAAAGATTGATCCCATTAATGGCCCAATTATTTTCCCTCTCTATATCCATGCCCCTTGCCCTCTGACTTTGCAAGTCATCCTACTGAAGAGAAACAGTCAATTCCCCCAGTCTTTAAATAGGCTAGACTATGTGACCTGCTTCGGTCAACAGGATGCAGTGGAAGTGATGGTGTACTACTTCTAAGCCTTGACTTCAGAGAATTTATGTGTTTTCATCTGCTCTATTGTGCCTCTGCTATCACCATGACAACATTCTTGGGGTAACCTGCTGGAGGATGAGAAATAAATGGAAGAGATGAATCACCCAGTCATCCAAGTGAAGGCCAGCCTAGTGCAGCTGACAGCCAGCCTAACCCCAGATACATGAATGAGTCCAGCCAAGATCAGCAGAACTGCCTAGCTGGACCCTAGCTGGACCCTAACTGACCCCAGTTGTGTGAGCTATCAATTGACAGTTTTATGTCACTGTGGTTGCATGGTTGTCTGCTTCACTGTTGTGTATGGTGACCACGGATGACTGACATAACTACCTATCTTCCCAGTGGTCAATTTATCACTATCTAAACCTCCCAATCATCTGTGAGAAATGTGTCATTATTTGCACTTTGCAGATGAGGAAACTGAACCATATAATGAGATTAAGTGATTTGCCCAAAATCACAAATACAGTAAGACAGGGAGTTTTTATATCCAAGTCCAGGATTTTCTCTAATGCATTACAGATGAGTTGGAAGAAAGCAAAGGGTTTTTAAAATAAATATGATTGCAGACTGACTTCCTGGGTTAAATTCCTGGCCTTCCCATTTACTAGATTTGGAACATTTTGCAATTTTCTTAGCCTTTCTGAGTCCCAGTATTCATTTCTGTAAAATGAGGATTATGTCATCTGCCTTGAAGGACATTCATCCTATAAATATTATTGAGTGATGACTATGTGCCCAGTACTCTTCCAAGTGCTGGTGAACCATTACTAATTAAAAGTAAAAAGATCTCGATGGGGAAATCTATCTTGCATGTTTGACTTGCATGTTTGAAGTACAGCTTAAACTTCAGAAAAAAAGGGAGCATTTGGGGTATAGACAAAACATTTTGGTCAGTGTCTTGGTCATTTTGCATTGCTATTAAGAAATACCTGAGGGTGGGTAATTTATAAAGATAAATTTTTATCTTTATACAAAGGTTTGTTTGGCTCACAATTCTGATAGCTGGAAGATTCGAAACTGGGCATGTATATCTGATGAGGGCCTAAGGCTGCTTCCACTCCTGGCAGAAGGTGAAGGAGAGCAGATATGTGCAGAGGTCACAAGGTGAGAGAGGAAGCAATAGAGAGCAGGAGGGAGGAGGGGACAGGCTCTTTTTAACAACCAGCTCTCTTTTGGGAACTAATAGAGTGAGAACTCATTAACTGCTTAGAAAGGGTGTTAATCTATTCATGAGGATTCCACCATCATGATCCAAACACCTCCCATTACAGCCCACTTGCCAACACTGTGACACTGGGGATCGAATTTCAACATGAGATTTGGTGGGGAAAAACAAACCATGTCCAAACTTAGCAGCCAGAAACTTGAAAGAAGGATTTCCCTTCCTAAGATTTATTGCTACACTCCTCCCTTTGGGATTAGGATTGGAGAGTAGTGCTTGAAAAACATCTGGGATCTCAGAGCAAAGGGAAACAACATCTTTCTACCTCAGTGCCTCCATTCTAGGGGACTGGTTTGTGAGAAGACACAGAAAAATTCCCATGCCCTGAGAATAGCATAACAAAATCACTAGAACTAAAGAGCACGACTTCTTCTCTAGTGGACATCTCATGAGGACCCATGTCAACAATAATCCATCAAAAGATTCCTGCCCCGATCCCCGACATTTCAGAAATTCATTCCAGAATTCTGACATAAATTCTGGGAAGGAAACACTTTAGAGACCCCAGTTAAATTTTCTTGCTGTACTGAAGGGATGATGCTTCAAAATGCAAATTATTTTGAGTTATAGGAAATGAAATTATATTTTTGTAACACAATTTTGTAGCCTTAGATTCACACATTTTAATTAAAATTAAACAAATGTCGTGTTGTTGTTTCTTTTAAAATAAGGTAAAATGTAATGTCCAACACTTTCTGTAGAAGAGACAGCTAGTTCTCCACCAAAATGTGTGCTTTGTGTTCCTTGATACAGTGTTTAGCTAGAAAGCAGCTGCCCAGCAAGAGATGACATTTCCCAGAACCCTTTGCATCTAGGCAAGACCTTGTGATTAGTTTCTATGAGCAGACTGTGAGTAGACATGATACATGTCTTTTCCAGTTTGAGGTCTCTTCTGTATTATCTCTTTCCTCATCGTCGTCTAAATTACATAGGCCCCTGAGGCTCTGAGGAGGCAGAAACACAAAATGGAAGGAAATTGAGCTTCTGAATGTTTCCTGGAATGCCCACCTTTTGATCAGGAATGCCAACATCACATTGCGACATAAGCAAGAGATAAATGTCTCATGTTAAATCACTGATATTTGGAGGCATTTTTTTATATTAAACAATCTTTATTTGAAAAATAGTACCTTGCAATCCTAACACGATCTATCAAACTTCAGTGAAAGCAATTTCAGCAACAACTAATGAACAGTAGCTAAACTGACAAGAGATCAATCAAAAGTATTTTAAAGTGAGCAGCACCAGCTGATGTTCTGGTGAGTCTCTGGGTGTTTAGGACCTGGCTACAGGGAAAACAGAATCAAATCAGCAGGTGCTGTGGACCCAAGCTCACACATCATGACCAGCCTCCCTCCTTGGGTCCCTAGTAGGCCACAGTCCCCCTGGTATTTCCAGGCCCCTGTGGGCTATAGGTGGAGCCCTAGGAGCCAAAGGGCCCCTTGGGAAAGGCTGGAACTTGGCCTCTCAGTCAGCCAGCTTCTGCCTGTTGCATTTACTTTCTTTCCAGAGTACCTGGAGTGGTCTCTCAGTAGATAAGGTGGCCGCCCAGCCTTCCTGGGCCGTTTTCTCATAGAAGAGGATTTCTCTCTGAGAACTGGAAGTGTCTTACTTCTATTCCTCGGCCAGGTCTTGGGCCATCTTCTTGTAGTGATCACAGGTATGTAAGACACAGTTCAAGTTTTAGTACACTTTACTGAGGTCCAAGCAGTAGACTTCCTGCTGAGACCCCATCGTGTGTTCTTGGTGCAGTCCAGGCAAAGTGGGAGTCGCCAGCTGTAGCTTCCGGAGGTCCCTTTTCAGCTGTCCACTTGCACCCTACAGAGAGGCCTGCTGGCTGAGCCAACTTTGGATTTATGCTATGAGTACTTTATCCCTTTGGTTTTCTTCCCACAGTTGCATGTCTGCTTCTCCAATCTCCCCCTCAGGACATTTAAAGAACGCACCTAAGTCACTGTCATCATCCACACTCTTCAGAGGGACTTGTGCCCAAGACGCTGGGTGACCACGATGTCTTGCTTCCCTATTTCCCTTCACTACCAAGTCCTGATGGTCCACATGGTCTCTACTGCCCCTGAGCAGATGCGGGATTCTCAGTGGGGTGTGGGCCAAGGAGGTCAGTCACCTCCCTCCAACACTCACTGGCACTAGTCCCAGGATTCTGCACATCACTAGTTCTGCCATCCACAGGTGGGCCATCAGCAGCTGAGTATGCATCTCCTAGCGGGCAACAGGCTCTCCATGGCTCTTGAGGGCTCTGCAGCTCTGCCTCCACTTGCCAGTGGCCTGTGGGCCACAACTGACCACTTGGAACCCTGAGGACTGTCTCCTCTCCAACAGAAACAAGGGCCCACCAATCAGGATAGACCATCTGTCGGGCTGGACTGTGGGGAGGGGAAGCACCCTGTGTTTGAAAAAACTGTGTCCCTGATTTTGTGTTAATATAAAGTGACATTACTTATGCAGTGCCTTGGGGGAGTGGAAAAAGCTCACTGCAGCCCCTACCTCAGGCCACTCCAGGCCCCACCGGGTCCTACAGCGCAGCTAGAGGGTCAAAGCAGAAGCATGCCACAGCCCGGGGTCCACACATGATCCTCTCAGGGCAGCATGCTGACCCGTCCCTGCTGAGGCTCATGACCCTGATTTCAAGTCTTCTTCTGCTGCAGGGAAGCCTGGTCCTGCCTGTAAAGAGTCTATCTACCTTGCTAGATTGAGCTTCTTGAAGAAGGGACTATGTTTTCTTCATCTCCGCATCCCCGGTAGCTAACCAATGTCCAGTATACAGTAGGGCGTCAGTCACTGTCTTATTTTCTTGTTGACTCTACTCTGACTTATGACATGACACTTTCCCCTCTTGACCTCTCTCTATTTTTTTTTTTTTTTCTGAGATGGATTTTTGCTCTTGTTGCCCAGGCTGGAGTGCAGTGGTGTGACCTCAGCTCAATGCAGCCTCAGCCTCCCGGGTTCAAGCCATTCTCCTGCCTCAGCCTCCCGAGTAGCTGGGACTACAGGCACGCACCACTATGCCCAGCTAATTTTCGTATTTTTAGTAGAGACTGGGTTTCACTATTTTGGCCAGGATGGCCTTGATCTCTTAACCTTGTGACCTCTAGCTTTAAAACCCCTCCGATATAGACAGAACTCAAACTGGAGCCGGACCTGAGGAATGGTGAATGGAGCATTTTCCCTGGTGTGACGGAGAGGACCTACAGATCTGGCTATCTTGTCCCTTGCATCCCTCTGCAGAATTTGACCCCAGTTTTCAAATCAGACTCAAGAATGATCTTTAGTGTTTATGATTTTGTGTTTTTCTTTTCTTTTTTTTTTTGCTTTGTTATTGACACAGCTTCTGGAAATCTTTTTCACAGAGAGTATGGGGACTTTTTGGCCAAATTGGGCAGATGCAGGCTCCATCTGCTCCACCACCACTGTCTGGGCCACAGCATGTCCCCTGCGTCCTGCTCCTCTACAGGGGTTTCTGCAGTGGAATCTGCTCCCTCACAAGCCCATCTACAAGGTGCTCCTGTGCTCCAACCCTGCTGTTTCCAAGAAGGCAGGTCCTGGGACTGCCAGGATCCCTCTCCCTCAGACAGCGCAATCTGTGTAGGCAGCAGGCCGGAAGTGGTGACAGCCACCATGACAGTCAGGGCCGAGGGCAGGACGATCACATTAGAAAACAGCATCCGGCCTCCAGGGGCGAGCGGAGTGACTCGGCCTCCATCTCCCCCTTGAGGCAGCCATCTTGGCGCCGCTTTCCTCAGGAGCACTGCGAGCTCGTCCTTAGGACCCGCTTCTCGGCTTTTCTTCTCCCAACTCTTTTTACCAGGCAGTGGCGTGGCCTCTCTGGCCCAGCAGGGAATGGGCGCAGGGAAGGGAGTGGTAGTAACGAGCGAGGCATAGAGGCTTTTCTGTAACAGCAGTTATGTTACCCTGATTAATACAAAATTGCCTCCACGAATCACAAAATTACCCAAGCAAAAAATAAGGTCTAGGTTTTAAGAAACTAACTCCTGAAAGAATTGACTCGTCCTGGGACAATGTACAGAGTTGATGTCTGGTTAATTAGAGGTCACTGGGATAGAATTCTTCCTGATATAGCGCGGCATAAAGGTGTGTATTAAGGACTCTAGGTAAAGAATCACGTGGAGAGAATCTTCAGGTTTAACACAAAGATCCCAGTTTTTCAACAAAAGGGAGGTAAACTACTCAGATGGGGTCTAAGTTGTAGCCCAATGTCACAGCCTGCTCCTGCCACAATTTCTTATTGATGCCAGGAGACTGCCTTTGTTTACTGCAGTCATCATGGCTGTTGGGAAGTGTTAATAACTTGCTTTTTATTTTAAGCGGGTGTGAATTGCATGGGTTCTGTTTCCTAATAAGAGTAGTGTCACCTGATATTTTCACATAAAGAGAGCTGCCTCGTGGCATGTCTTCTGAAGCTAGCATGTGCTTATCCTTCACAAGCCCACAAAAACTGCAGACTGTAATTCAGAAATTTGATTTGATCATTCCACTAAACCTCTAAGCCCAATGTTTTCTTCAGCTCAGTGTTTTCCTTGCCATAAACTTACCCTCAGAGGGAACCACTGACATTTTAAGAGCTGAATCCTTACAGACACTGAGGCCAAAAGGACTTCAGTGCCAACTCTGCATTTTGAGGCCATTAAAAAAAATATCATCAAAGACTGGGGTTGCCAATCAGAGGTTCTCCATAGTGAGTGTCCAACAATAAGATCATAGTGACTGCTTATTCCAAACCAAAGTTACCACATTCGATACTCAAGGTTTTCAACAGAATTGATTCCAATTAGAGCTTCACATTTTCCATTAAGCTGTATGAAATATTATAAATCTATTGAGAACACCAGTAGAAGAATGGCTAACTAAATCGCAGTATACTGGCACAAGGGAATACTATACTGCAATGAGAATGAACAATCTTCAATTATACCTGACCACATGTATGAATTTCACAAACACAATATGGGGCACAAGAAGGCAGACAAGAGAGTATACAATGTGTGAGTCTCATTATATAAAGCTCAAAAGCAGACCAAATTAATCTATTGTGTTAGAAGCCAGAATGATGATTAGGTGGAGTACTTACTAGAGGAAGGTATAAGGGAACTTGTGGAGAACTCGTCATGTTCTGATTTCAGACTTGGTCTCTAGTTCCCCAAGTGTGTTCAGCCTGTAAAAAATTTATTAAGCTGTACACTACCTCCTACTGCACTTTTCTAAATATGTTATACTTAAATAAAATGTTTACTTAAAAGCCAATAAAAAATCTTAAGGACCCCTGGAGAGATACCTCAAAGTTTAATGATCCCAGGTAATGAATCACTACCTCATATACTTTTGAAAAAATTTATTTTTGCATTTTGTCATACATTGCCAATTAGAGTCTGTATTAGTCAGCTCTAACACTGCTATAAAAAAATACCTGAGTCTGGGTAATTTAAAAGAAAAGAGGCTTAACTGGCTCATGGTCCCACAGGCTGTACAGGAAGCATGGCAGTATCTGCTCAGTTTCTGGGGAGGCCTCGGAGAACTTACAATCATGGTGGAAGACGAAGGGGGAGCCAGTACTTCACATGGCTGGAGCAGGAGGAAGGGGTGTGGGGGAAGGTGCTACACACCTCTAAACAACCAGATCTCTTGAGCAGTCACTCACTGTCATGAGAGCAGCACCAGGAGGATGGTGCTAAACCATTCATGAAGGTTCATGAAGATTACCTCCATGATCCCATTACCTCCCACAAAGCCCCATCACCAGTATTGGGGATTACGGTTCGACATGAGATTTGGTCAAAGACACAGATCCAAACCATATCAGGGTAAATCAGGTTAAAAGAGTTTTACAAATGTGAGATTTGGAAAGATGTATTTATGATTGGATTCTGTTTCCCCCTTTTCCCCCACGTCTTTCAATTTTTGATTATAAGGAAACATACATGTTTTAAAGTGGTGGCTAAGATTCAGGTGTGGCCTGTGCTCTTGGCAAAAGCCAAATTTCAACAAACTTAAAGATCTAATTGGCTTTTTCATGCCTTGGGGGGCATCTCATCTAAAGAGTTAGAAAAGGCTCTCTGATGACCTGAGCAGGAGTTGGCTTTATAGGCAAAAAGGGGCTGAAGAAAGCAGAAACAGGGAACAAAAAGCAGATTAGTTAGCATCAGGTTACTTCACATTACTCTTTTTGAAAGAGTTAAAGTCGAGGGGACTTCCTTATCATGCTGGCTAAAACTGGCCTTTTGGGGAGTTTGGCTACTAGCCATCCCTCTCCTGATTTCTTGGAAAGTCAGATAATAACACTTAGTTTTATTATCTAAGTAATAGAGTAATGGTAATGGAGAACTTGAACATGACTGACTCCATTTCGGTTTGGTCTGTTGGAGCCTAATGTAGGAGCTCAGTCCAAATCAATGGCCTCTTATAGATTTTATGTAACACTCCATAGATAATCTATGGACATAAAACCAGACCTTGCTTGACAGTGTTAAGCAGTCATGGCTATTATGTGCTTAAGAGTCAGTATAGCCCTTAAAAAGTTACCTCCATCACCTCAATGGGAATGAAGCGCAACAAAGATTTGTCCCTCATTGCTTCCATTATGCTTCTCTCAACTCATTGCTTCCATTATGCTTCTCTTTTTGATTCTGTCCTAATGACACAAATAAGTCCTAACCAATATGTATCCATCTAACATTGCTAAGCTGTGTTGTTTCACCACCACCACCAGCATCTCCACCATCACCCTCAAATGGTTAGAGTAATATTCACTTGCTATTGTGACTGTATTTCTTGTTATTATTGCTGATATTATTGCTACATAACAGATTACACCAAAACTTAGCAGCTTTTATTATTTTATCTTGTTCTTGGTCTTGTGGGTTAGGAATTCAGAAACAGCCCAGCTGAGCAGTTGTCTCTTGGAATCTCTCATGCAGTTGCAATCAGATGTTGGCTGGACTGCAGTCATCTGAAGGACTGGACACGCAAGATGGCTCACTCAAGTGCCTAGCAGGAGGTGCAGGCTGTCAGTGGACTTAGCTAGGGCTGATGACTGGGGCATCTACATGTAATTCCCCAGCATGTTGATGTCAG
This sequence comes from Homo sapiens, assembly GCF_000001405.40. NCBI lineage: Eukaryota > Metazoa > Chordata > Mammalia > Primates > Hominidae > Homo > Homo sapiens. Next base: position 8,940,639 of record NC_000020.11, read on the forward strand.
GGCAGTCAGTTTTCTTATATGGTTAACCTCTAACTTCCCCATAGCGAGTGTTCCCTGAGAACCCAGGGGAACTGACTTTGCCTTAGAAATCATACAGCATTGCTTCTGTTGCATTCGGTTAATTATAAATGAGTCACAAACCCAAGCAAATTCAAGGGGAGGCGATTATACCCCACCTCTAAATGGGAATAATATCAAAGGATTTTCAGCCATTTTTTTAAAACCACCACCCTGTGTGACCAGGGCAATAACCAAATTAAATTTAGTTGATTGTTTTTCTCATGCTGATGTCCTTTGGTTCTTCACCCAGAATGTTGTGTGCAGTCATAGAAATGCAAATCAATTAATCCAGTTGCTGCATTAGGTATATTATCAAAGAAGCCACAAGATGTTTCCATTTAACGAACACAGATTTTTATAGGGCTTGCTCCTCCAATTCTGTGGGAAAGAACTTTTTATTCACCTGTTCCATTTGAAGAAATGGAAACCTAGAAGGGCTCACAGTTTCCTATCTCTTAAGTTGCAGGGCCAAAATTTAAACATATTTTCTGACTCTAAGTCCAAGATTTACAAATACATCTCTGATAGTTTCAAGTTTAAATGAGCTTCATTCATTTCAGTAACATATTTTGCACCAAGCACCTGGATGTTTTCAAGATGAGTATATCTTACATCCTAGCATTATATCCTGGGATATTCTGATCTATTTGTTTAAGCTAGGAATTGTGCTAGCGCCAATGGATTGAAGTATCTGCTGCTCTTCTGATCAAAGAAATGGAATAAACAATTTTAGGAACTTTAACAGAACCATGCACCCAAGAGGAAGGACATTTTATTCTGGGTGCAGAATATCTTTATCAATTGCCTGGCTGAAAGAACTGGGGATTAATAAGGATTAGAATGGCAAGCAAAATGAAGATAGATGGAGTTGCTAAGGGATCAAGGGACTAGACTAGAATTCAATATGATCCTGGGTAAATTAAAAAGACAGCTTGTTAGAAATGAGGAAAAAAAATCAGTAGGAACAAATGCAAGGTGGCTCATCCCAACAAAAATCCACATTGCTTCAAAGGTGGGTAAGACTGGCTAGATATAACCATAATAGACACTCGCCCCAGAGCCAGTGAGTACCATGTGATGGATGAGAGTCAGCAATATTAATTTCAGGTGTGGGAGTTCATGGGCAAGACAAGAAGACTTTAGCTCAATAAATGGGGAATTTCTCTAACCCCACCCTCAAAGTAAATCAACTCTTCTTGCAATACATAATCAAAACTCCTTTATCTTTTATTTCATGGACTTTATTACTGTTGTAATTTTTAACATTTTGATGTAATTATGTGATTAATATCGTCTTTTCACTAGATGGTCAGTTCTATGAAAGCAGGGTCTGGATCTGTTTGCATCACGCATGCAATGCCTGCCATGCAGTGCCTTCCATGCGCCTAATGTGCAGCTGGTGTTTTCTCAATGGTTACTGAATGAGTAAATTAATATTAGGCTAAAAATAATGTATACTAGTGCTTGGCAAACGATGGCCCACTAACCAAATTTGGCCCATAACCTGTTTTTGTATGGCCTGTAAACTAAGAATGGTTTTATATTTTTAATGGTTGAAGAAATCAGAAGAATATTTTGTGATGTGAAAATTATATGAAATTCAAGTTTCAGGGTCTATAAAGAAATGTTTATTGGAACACATCCCACATTTGTACCTATTGCCTATGGCTGCTCTCGTGCTAAAACAGCAGCACTGTGTAGTTGCAACAGAGACCACGTGGCTCACAAAATCTAAAATATTTACTCTCTAGCCCTTTACAGAAAAAGTTTGCTGGCCCCTGGTATAGACAATCTGGTTCTCATCATCCTTGGGGTTTTGTCAACTCATGGGCATGTATTCCTAAGCTTTTGGCTGATATCTAATGGATAAAGTGACTTTTGTGCCCTCTCTCCCCCCATTGAAACAAAATAACCACTCTCTTGTTTTCTAAAAGACTGAAGGTTATAAAATAAGAAACTGCTCAGGTCTCCAGAATGGCGGCAACAATTATCGAATGAATAAATTAATATTGAGATGAGAATAATGTAGACTAGGGATTGGCAAGACTAGGAGCTCTGGAGGCATATGGAATTGGTTTCAAATCTTAATTCTGCCACCCAAATGTGTAATCTTAATCAAAATAATTCTCTAAGCCCCAACTAACCTTTTTGTAAAATCCTCATAGGAAGCTGTGGTGGTTAAATTAGGTATGATAGATACCTTTTAGATGAGTTTGCCCATCCAAAGTCCTTTCTCTGAGAACTGTTCCCCCACTTCCAACACCAGGAGCAACCTGTACAGCCCTTTCTACCTTCTCTCCTCTGACCACAATGGATAGGACAAAGCATGAACAAATGATGCAAAGTTTGTCTTAGGCCAACTAGATGTTTTCCCTCAAAAATTTGAAAATGAAACATAGAAATTCTAGTTAGTCCACTTGAGGCACCTGGACTAGAACCACTTGTTTGGGCAACAAGCAAGGATAGAAGCAACTGGTTTGCAGACAGAGAAAAATGAACACAAAATGAGGAAGATATTTGTGTAGAGAATGAAAGTAGCCCCGCTCTGTTGGGATGGGAACCCTTCTGAACCTGTTATGAATGGCAGCAGGCATTTTCAACTCACGGGTAAAGGTCTAAGTTCATTAAGTCCTGCCGTTGGAGCCCAGCCCACCTCCGTCTCCAAGCTGCTTATACAATTCAGCCCCTCAAGCATCCATATCTCCCTATGGATAAGCTACAGAAACAGGGGTGATTAAAGGTGACTTGCATTCCATTATTTGTGCTAAACATTTGGTGCAGACTTCTTTGTTCTGAATTCTTTAGCATCAGAGGGAAAAGACTGGAAAAGAGAACAACTACACACAGAGGTGGGTGATCCCATTCCATAAAACCAAAACTTTGGAACTTGAACATCAAATCTTTCAAGTCTCAGGTATGACGTCCTAGCAACATATTGTTAAAAATTCAGCTTCAGATCCAAACTGCCATAGCAGTTTCCTGATTGCCTACTCTCAGAAGACTGAGTTCCTTCTGCAGCTGCATAGAAATTGGATATACACAGAGATTTATAAGAGAACAGCAGTAAAGGGGCCAGAGATTTCTCTTGCTACAGATTTTTCAGGGAAACACATGGCAGTTTGGGGAAGTCCCTAATGCTAATGACTTTCCACTTCCTAGTTTCATTCCCTTGGTGGCAGCCTGGCTACTTTTTTGTCCTTGGTTCAGGGAGATAGTCATGCACAAAATCCTGTTTTAAAACTAGCTCCAATGGAGTTCAGTCTATTCTCACAAACATGCCTGGACTGAAATAATGAATTTCCTGGTGCATACTTGTCATTCAACAATGTAATGATTGTCAATATTTTTCAAAGTATTATTAGTTGGCATTATTATTATGGAATAATGAAATATTGCCATGGAATATACAGTGAAAACCAATGACCATAGTTTTTATAGATTCAGACTGCAGTGTGCAGGCATAAAATGACATGGTGTCTGGGATTTGCTTCAGAACAATTCCATGATAAAACTTTCTTTTTGTTTTGTTTTGTTTTGTTTTGTTTGTGTGTGTGTGTTTCCATGATAAAAATTTAAAAACAGAAAAAGAAAATGAGAAAGAAAGAAATAGATAGAGCAATTTTGGTAAACTCTTGGTAATTGTTGAGTCTGGGTGATGGGTATATGGGAATTCATTGTATTATTCATTCTGCTTTGTGTATATTAGAATATTTTCATAAGAAAAATTAGATTAAGATTATTTTTAGAGTTAAAATAATTAGATTTTAAATATAGTAAGTTGCTTACATAAAAGCTCTAAAAAGTCAGTTCATCATTACAGTTTGCAAAGAATATTTTAGAACTATTTATTCTTTCAAAATAGAAAGAAACCTCTCTTGGATGACGTAGAGTGGCCCTGAGATAGGGAAATGGACTAAATGACATTGTAAGACACCCTCCGCACACACACATACTTGTCACCTCTACTATTCTTCATTAATGCATTTCTTCCTAAACAAATGGTAAAGCATTCTTCCAAAGAATATTTAGAAAACCATCAATAATCCATATGTGTCAAAGATTGCAATATGTCTTTAAATCTCAGAAGGAGAGGGAAATCACATTATAGATTTCTTCTTTTTCCAATACATCATGCTAATGACAACGAATTATTGGGTGCTCTTTATTCTCATGGGATGAATCAGGCCAAGGGTTCTGTTCTCTGTGGCTGGTAAATCAGACCCTGGAAACTGTGTCATCCTGGCTGGCCTCTTTCCCTAAGTACATGCAACCAGCCGCCCGCTAGTTCTGGGCTAATGAAGTCCAATTGCTCCATAGGCTGAGGTTTATTCAGTTTGTATAAATGGGAGAAATAAAGACCAAATATGGCCTGGCCTAAGTAAGACATAACAGTTTGAAGCACAGAACTGAGCCAAGAAAGGGAAGCATAGGAAGAAAGGGGCATAAAACAAAGGCCCCAACATGCTCTCTGCTCTAGAGGCAGCCAGAGAAGGAGCTGCTCAGTCCATCCCTGAGAAAAAGAGGCTACCCAAGGTTGGCAGAGAGGGTGTGCTGATGATGGAAGGAGAAACTTTGATGCCTCCTTGGTCCTTTTATTCCACCACCTCATGACCATAGCCTGAAACTCGTAACTCCTGCCCATGCAGGTTGGAGAATTGAGAAGAAATTCTACTTGAAGAAAAGGTGGTACCTGGGGGCAAGTGAACAGAACTGGATGACTGAACATTACCCTAAAGAAAGGAACAAGGCAGCACCTAGCACAGAACCTGGCACATAGGAGGTTCTCCATAAATTTATTCATTCATTAGAAAAAAAATGGAGTGGGTGCCTACTATGTGCTCTGTACTAGGAAATTCAACCCTGAAGGAAATAAATATAAAGTTCTTGGCCTCTTGGAACACAGAGTCTGTTGAGAGGATTGGTAGTTATGCAGATAAACGTATAATCGCTAAGTCTGATAATCAGAAAAACACTGATCTGGAGGGGTTATGGGAGTCTTTAAGTGTTTTGTGCTCAAAGGCACCCAATGTCAGAATAACATGATTAACTAGGAGTCCAAGCTCCAGAAAGAGTCTTCCTGGATTCAAATTCCAGTTCTATCATTCCCTTTCTGGGTGACCCTAGGCTGGTTACTTAACCTCTCTGTTTTTCTGAAAAACAATCATGTTAATAATAAAGTGAATGTGAGATCCAGCCTCAGCCCAGAATAGGAACCTGATCTCTAATGGCTCTGCCACCTGGCCCTCTTGCCCTCTGACTTCTGGTTCGATTTGACCAATGGAAAGCATGTTCAAGAGATTAGAAGGCTGTGGTTTGGCAATTACCAATTTCTTCTGTCTCCTGGCCCTCCCCTAGAACTCTCACTAACTTTGAAACCCACCCCCTCTAGAAAAGTGTCTGGTAAAGGCAAAAAGCTCTTTGCTGTTGCTAGAACAGCAACATACCCTGTTGGTTTCTTATAATAGTCCCTTCACTAAACACCCTTCAACTACTCTTTTTAAATGTACCATGTGCTTTCCACTGAGGCCCTGACCAGGGCGCCTAAAAATAATTCTTGGCCCTTGATAAACACCTGATAAAGAGAAGCTAATATTATCCAAGTAAGACACTGTTTGAGATTTGTGTTATGTTATAGACAGTGTCTATGACACCCCCTATCATTGAAAACATGTTGAGAGGAGATAGTCTAACTCTTCCCAAACTCCCTAGAAGCCCATCAAAAGAGGATAATAAAATAAGGACCCAGCAAAACACTAACATAAAGTGGCCATTCATGGGTGAAGCAATAATAATTCTGGTCACCAGCAGCCCTTGCCTGTGTGCAAAAGTTATGATGCCGTTATAAAAAATAAAAACACTGTCGGCCCTTTGACAATGATGTGAAAGGGGAGATTTTCCAGCAAAAGAATCTCAGCCAAATTTGAAGCTGTTATTTACCCGCTTAAGACAGAAAGTATCCTCTCTGGGTTCCTCGTGATCTAATCCTTTAAGCCTTCTGCTGGCACTGGAAACAATGTTAAGCTTTGGGATCAGGCCCTTTGGTTTCTATAATCCATGGGAATTTGAAGATGATAAATTTGTGGAGAGCCTGAAAGTTCCTAACATTTAATGGAACCCAAGGGGGAAACAATTAGGATACAGTCACGTAACTCCATTAACTCTTCTGGAAGGCTCTGAATTATGTAAGTCCCCTGCTGCAGCTTTCCTCCCCTGCAGCCCCATTTTGCCATGCAACAAGGAAAAAGGCAGAGGCAATGAAAGCAAATGAAAAAAAGGAAAGATCTTTCCAATATGACTATTTATTTGCATTTTCTATGAGAAGTCTGGTGGGGAAAGAATTCAAACTGACAACACAAATGAGGGGCAGGAATCAACATTAGACTGAACTTACTCAGGCTCTCTGAGCCACCCCCAACCCTTGACCATCCTTTCCAAGGATAACTGACAACTACACACAACAAAGAACACATCGAACCTATTCTCATTAATAGGATTTGTGGGGGCAAGATAGTCCTAATTTATGCTGGCGTGGGCTGAACTATTGAAAATAAAAGGATGAACAAGAAGTTTCTTTCATTTCAGCTGTAACTGTCACTATAAATAGGACATCTACAAAGAGACTGGACTTTTGTGGGCTGTTTGAGCAATGCCTGTGAAAGGTTGTAACAAAACCTCAAAAAATAAATTCTTATTTCTCTGTTTGTCGGAGGCACTAACCTAGATTTGCCATCACACCTGTGCCAAGAAGAGAGCCTGCACCACTGCCTCTGTGTGGGTACCACTGAGGGGTTGGTAGCAGGGAGTATCAGCTGGTGTCAGAAAAGAGGGACACCTCCTACACTTGGTTCATGCTGTGTGCTGCTTACTCTCTTCTTCTCTCACCTACAGTCTCATAAGACATTATCCGACTCATTTTCATTCCAGTAGACTTGGTAGAAGAAGTCTATGGGGAAGCCAGACAAAAAAGATAATTGAAAGCCATCTGTGAATTTCAAGCACAAATAGCTCTAAACAATAACTGGCACAAAGTATGGGCTTAGTAAATGTTTGTCCGACTCAACTGAAGTCAGTGTGCAAGTTTTTGTTGTGGAGCAGACATGCCTTGGTCTCAAGGCATGCTCGTGCACCTGCAGGTTTGCCATACTTGAGATAACCAACATCCAGGTGGGCTTTTAAGCCATGAGGAGAATGGACCTAGCCATAAGCAAATGTGGGACAGGTAAATTCAGGTAGGTGGCACAATCTGAAGAATTGTCGGGACTGTTCTATTTCCAGGCTCTTGCAATTCTACTATTAGTGGATCACTTCTGGGAGCAAATGTTGCCTTCCCAAAATAATTCATCTGGGGAGCAATTTCCATAAGATCTCATATTTTTAGGCATTTAGGACTTTTCTGTTTGTTTTCATATTCTTTAATATGCTTAATTCTCAAATTGTTTGTTTTCATCTAGATGGAATCTTTACTGGTAACCACTGTACAGGTGAGGAAATTGCCATCTTGACTTTGAGGGAAATGCTTTTTAGAAATTTGACTCAGGTGTTCCAGGACAGGTAGTGTGTAGGGTGCTGATCTATTTTGCAGAACAAGTTCTCTCACTGGAGAGGTAGATTTGTGGGAAGCCTCAGACCTCTTGGGTTGGGAACTGAAAGCAGAATCTATCTAAATCTCCAAAAAACTTTGCACTCTGCATATGGTTCATTATGAATAATTTAGTAAAGTATTCTTAAATTCAAAACAGAACCTGCACCCCAAAATGATGGATGGATCTTAAGAACACTTGATGAAGGCAATGTCTGCACACTCTGACAGAAATGCTTTCAATGCAGCTTTCTTTTCAATCACTTGGCAGCAAATGTCCATGTTTGCAATCTCATCAGGGAGACTAACACTTGTGTCTCCTGCTGATCATGCCATTGTGCAGACAGACTTCATCAACAGGCTTGATTGAACGTTCTGATTGGAAATTTTCCTAGAAAGTTTCTGTGCAGAACATGTGGATACTGCCTTGCTTTCAAAACATTTGTCTACACATAGGCAGAAACCAGTGGGCTTAGAAGGAAGAATTGAAAGAATTGTTGCCAAGCCTACGTTCTTGAAGTAATGCAGCATAACTACAGGAGACAGCCCTTAAGTATACTGAAGAGGCATTTCTTAAGTGTGCTAAAGAAGCAGATCTTGTCCAAGATATTCCTTGGGCAACATCTGCTCAGTAAGAATTCATCTTTTGATCCGTTCCTTCAAGGATTCTTTACTTCATCTCATTTCTTGGCTTCTATTTTGGCTTGACCTGAAATAGTGGTTTCCTCTGTTAACATTACATCTTCAGCTTCCTCCACCTAGGCCTGCTTCCCCATTGCCCTCTTTCTAACACTGGGGATCCAAAAAGAGTTCTCAATGTCTCTCTGAAATTTCCTGATGGAGAACATGATACTTTACAAAGAAAGCAGCACAGAGTTAGGAAAATACTGCTCAGAAAGCTTTTGTTTCTTGACTGCATCAGTTATTTATTCTGCAAAACAACCATCCCAATTTAGTGGCTTAAAATGGCACCCATTTTAGCTCATGATTTTATGAACTGGCAGTTAGGCTTGGCTCAACTGGGTGATTCTTCTGGTTTCTACTGGGTTGGCTCAGAGATCTACAGACTTGTGCTTATCAACTGGAAAATCATGTATAAGGGGGTCTAGCTAGTCTAAGATGCTCTCACTCAAATATCTCATGGTTGGCTCACTGTTACCTGGGATGATGAGGGTGAATGAACCACGTGTTTCTCATTCTTCCACAGGATAATCTGGACTTTTATGTATGGCAGCTTAAAACAATTCTGAGAGGATAGAAGCATATAAGTGCTCTTGAAGCTCTATTCAAAACTAGTATGTAAATTCCACCTCATTCTATAGGCCAAAGAAAGTCAAAAGGCCAACCCAGAATCAAGACTTGGGGAATTAGATGTCTTGATGGGAGTTGCTGCAATGGAAGGTGGTTACAGAGATGAGTGAAGAATTGAGGACATGTTTACATGACTCAGAGGAAGTTTATTGACTAGAGAACAGAACCTACTTACCTAAATACAGACTTATTTCCTGACCCCATGCACCTCATTCTTTGCCCTTTGAAACTCCAAGAGAAGTTCAAAGAAGTCAGGGGACTTAACACAATTCCATCTGAATGAATTAGCAAAATATGGGTCAGAGATAACTGTGTTTTTCCAAAAGGTGGAGTTTATCATTAATGATCTCACAGAGCATGGAGAGCTGTAGATTATGCCATACAAGACTAAACAAAACCCCTGATCTAGCTATCACAAAGCCTTGGCATATAAGGACTTTTTCACTTTAGTCACAAAATATGCTTCATCTAGCACTTGTCCTTACTAACTAAGCCTTTCAGCATTGTAGGCTTTTTGATCCTATTGTATTCTGGATCCCTGCCCTTCAGGGTCAGCTCTGGGATGCCCAGATGTTTAATCAAACTCAATATATGAGGGCTATCAACCAGTCTAAATAGAGAGGCAGATGGAACAAAGACAGATTAGGGAGGCTTGTTGAAATTTGGCTTTGTTTTTTTTTGCCCTTCACAGTACAATTGTGTTCTCAAGACTAATGAATGATATTTTCCACAATCATCTAGACTGAAGGAGGCAGAGAGGAGTATAATCAACTTCTGTATTATCCTCAGCTATTCCAGTGACTGCTTCTCCAACATACTGATTCAGATGGGCCTGGCTCTTCCACATAAGGACCAGAACTCTGTACATACGGTCTCCAAAATAGCATCCTTTATCCATCCTCCATTCACTCTCCCTATACTGACAGTTCTGTGACTGCTTACTTCATTTCTACAGGGTTTGCCTGTCTGGACAAAGAATATCTGACTGAGGCCCCCAGTTTGCTTTTGGTTATGAATGGTGCTACATCTAATTCTTTTCCACATACTGTCTCCTGTCAGATGAAAGGGAATAATCAGACAACAGAAAATGTCTCACAATTACAAGACATCAACCTCTATTACTTATAGTTTCTGTAAAGTAACTGTCATCCCATTTCTAAGCAGAATATCCCCTCACTCTAGTGGGGGTTTTACCTCTAATCACCTCATCCTACGGGTTTTTCCTCATGCCAGCCTCAATTGCTACCCTTTTTGAAAGGTGCTCAGCCAAGCTTTGTTTGATTGATTGATTGATTTTTTAAATTTTTTGTTTTGAGACAGAGTCTCACTCTGACACGTAGGCTGGAGTGCAGAGGCACGATCTCGGCTCACTCAACTCTGCCTCCCAGGTTCAAGCAATTCCCATGCCTCAGCCTCCCAAGTAGCTGGGATTACAGGCACTAGCCAGCACACCCGGCTAATTTTTGTATTTTTCGTAGAGACGAGGTTTCACCATGTTGGCCAGGCTGGTCTTGAACTCCTGACCTCAGGTGATCCACCCATCTTGGCCTCCCAAAGTACTGGGATTACAGGCGTAAACCAATGCACCCGGCTCAAGCTTTGTTTTAAAATGTAGGTTTTATAATGATTTAGATATGGTGAGACCAACAGATAGGAGACAGCTGCCGTTGAAAAGATAGTTTATTACTCACAGTTCTCAAGAGGGAGCAGCTGTGCCCTTCAGCGCCACACCAGGAGAAGCAGCCGGGTCCATCAGGAGGCAGAGGGAGCAAGGGGAAAGTGTGGGTGAGAGCCTTTCTTGTGGTTTCCATGGGAAGAAACAGGCAAGGCAGGGTAAACAGGCTTAGGGTTTGCTAGTTTGAATGATCTCAGTGGGCTCTGAAGGGCCCAGGCTGTCCTGAGTTGTCTGGGATCTGGTCCTGGAATGATGAGGGCAAGGGAATATTGGCCTGGAGTGGAAGAGCTAAGGGAGGTAGTTGGGGTTATGAGCTTTGGACTGGTTGGTCTGCATATGAGAGGCATACTCTAGTTATTTTTTCTGTCTAAAGATGTGCTAATCCTAGGAGGGGCAGTCTCTCCCTGGTCAGCAAAGCCAGAGCATCATTAATATAGATTCCAGCCCCTTCTAATAGGCCATTTTCAGAATGAAGGGGCTACTCACTGTCGATGGCCCCTAGTGAGTCCTTGCACATCGGATACCAGATACTCTTAAGACTTGGGGACCCTTCCTCACAATATGCAGAGTCAGATGTAGCTTCCCAGCTCCACCTCCCTCTGTCCTTCCCTTTGGCTTCTCTGTGCTTTGTTTCAAATGGCCTGCACCCAGGACTCTATTTCTACAACTGCCTTTGGGCTACCAGAGCTGCTCTGCCCACTTACCCTGAGAGCTGTAAGTTCCTAGAGGGCTATGCATTCACCCCTCTCCTGGGTCCCTGTGTCCATTAGCCTAAGACTGGCTTATATAAAATACAAAAGTCCAGCTCCTTTCCCTCCAGTGGGGACAAACTCTGAGGCATGTGTAGCTTATGTTCCTAAGCTCCCCTGTGGGGTCAGGGTCAGGCTGAGGCTGAGGCCACACCTGAAATCATAGCTTCCACTGGCTTCTTCTCCTTCCTTTTCATGCCTGCCTGTCCCAACTCCTTTTGTGGTTTCTCCTAGGCACATTTCTTTTGAAAAAATATCACTACACATAAATCCCTATCTCAGGATCTGCTTCTAGGGAACCTGACCTAAGATAAAGAGGAAACCAGATGAATTTATCTGAACCATGGTAGACTCTTAGTGCATCTATCACCATCTGCAATACAAGTTAGTGTGAATCAGCTTTTTATATCATCTGCCTAGGAAAATTGGTTTCCTAGATGGGTCTTGTGGTGTTTGATCTCTTGGGGAAACATCCTACTGAGAGTCACAGGGGTCCCTCATTATCCTATTCCCCCAGATCATAGCTTATTGCACCCATCCTGACCCAAAGTAGCCCACTGGTTGACATTTCAGCAGCCTGTGTGGCCAAGCCTGATAATATAGTGGACCAATGAGATGCTATATTAGTCTGTTTTCACACTGCTGATAAAGACATACCAAGACTGGGTAATTCATAAAGGAAAGAGATTTAATTGACTCACAGTTCCACCTGGCTGGCGAGGACTCACAATCATGGTGGAAGATGAAGGAAGAATGGCAGCTGGTGATGAGAGAATGAGAGGCAAGTGAAAGAGGAAACCCCTTATAAAACCATCAAATCTCATGAGTCTTATTTACTACCATGAGAACGGTATGGGGGAAACTGCCATCATGATTCAATTATCTCCCATTAGGTCCCTCCCACAACACATGGGAATTATGAGAGCTATAATTCAAGATGATATTTGAGTGGGAACACAGCCAAAGCACATCAGATACATTTCTTGGGATTCTGAATTTGTCAAACAGAGGGACTAAAGCTGTTAACAGCAGGGTAGGCACTGAGTGAACTAATCCCACATTTCCTTGATGAATAAACCCAGGGATATCATCATGAGTGTCCAGTGGAGCCCATTTTATTGACTACACATCACGTAATGTTTTTGCTTCCATCCTTCCTGAGTGCATAACATATAGAAAAAGTGCAATCAAAATTGCCTTTCTGCAATCCTCTCACAAAACAATCTAGACGACCCTCTGCCCTTTCCTGTTTTCCTGGCTACATTATCTTTTACTGTGAGAAAGACTTTGAACATCGCTTTGGGGGATATTAACATGTCCAAAGTGTGCTTTGTTTTAAGAAAATGTTAGGGCAGCTTGACAGACATTGAGAGACATGAAACTAAGGGAGAACAAAATACAAATTCCAGTACTTAATAGTAAAATAGCATAAACTGGGCTCCACCTTTGGAGAAGAGGGACTGCAGGCTAGGGGGCAGAAGATGCTCCCAGCAATGACTCCCCTTGTACAGACCTGTCTTTTGTTTCTTTGCTCCTGCAGGGCAGAGAGAAACCCCTGGGAAGGAGAATAGGGCAAGGTGGATGGAGTGCTCTCATTTTGTGTTTTGACCTTTCAGTTCTTCCCTTTCCCTCAGGGTTTGAAAGGTACTTTGTGGGTGGTAGACTCTAAAGCCTAAGATTTTACTCATTTGAAATACTAGATACAAGAATATTTTCCCTAGTGTCCTTGTCCATTTAGGCTGCTATAACAAAATATCATAGATGGGGTGGCTTATAAACAATAGAAATTTATTTCTCACTGTTCTGGAGGCTAGGAAGTTCAAGATCAAGGCACTGGCAGATTTGGTGTCTGGTGAGGTCCCACTTCCTGGTTCATAGACACTGTCTTTTGGCTATAATCTTGCATGGCAGAAGGGACAAGGGATCCCTCTGGGGTCTCCTTGATAAGGGAACTAATCCCATTATAACAGCTATGTCCTCATAACCTAATCACTCATGAAAGGCCCTGCCTCCTAACACCATCAACCTGTGGGGTGTTCGAATTTCAATATAAGAATTTGGCAGGGATGTATACATTCAGTCCTTTGCACCTACTTACACCCATTCTGGGTCTAATCAAATAACTTATTAGTACAACAGCTGCATGCTCTATGCCATGGTCCCTTAATCCATCCCTGACTTATCCACAGCTGTGATGGGGACAGTTCCTGATGGCTCCATCAGCTCCCCACCTGAAGTACCTGCTTCTTTCCTTTTCACTGCAAGAAGTCTTTCTCCAGAGCCTCGAAAGTGTTCTCAGGCTACCTGTGATATGGCCAGGAAGTTGAGGATTTAATGCCACCAGGAGTGACCCTCAGCCAATGAAAATCAGAAGTCAGTAGATAAAGGCCTCAGTTTCTTCATTGCTCAGGGAACAGATCTAAAGCATGTTCTACGCAATACCATAGAGAGTCTCCATAGACGTGAATGCCAGTTATAGCAGTAACCTGCTCATTGGCACACCTTTTATTGGATTCACTTCTTTTCCTTCTTCTTTTCCCAACTCCCTCATTAGTGCTTTCCTGGAATCACTCAAAAATAAACTACTTGCACCCAAGTTCTTTTCTCAGGATCTGCTAATTAACTAGGACACTTGTGGTTAAGTGGAAAAATCTGACCCTTTTCTCAAAGTCCACTGACTTTGTCCTAAGACAATGCACTGAGTACAAGTTGAAATTAGGATGGAACAAAAATGCTGAGCCCGAGAAAGCCATTTGATAGCAGAGACAGTAAGAGAAGTCCAAGTTGCCACAACCACTACAGCCTATATGATGCCTTTTGCAAATTTCAAAAATATTTTACTTCCTCAAGACACTTTTCACCTATTGAAACATTTTCTGATATAGAACAAGGCACATTATTGCCATATGCCAGGAAATTGTCATAATAACTATAAAAATGTACAGTCTCTAAGATGTGAAAGGCTAACCCAAAGTCCCTCACTTTCACAACCGTATATGGTAACTCTGCCTTTACTTGGTTTCAGTTACAATTCTTGTTCCTCTAAGGCCCAGCCAGGCCATGATTCCTGCCCTTGAATTCTGTTGAGAAACCGCATTGCGTTCTGCCTGTCCTTAAACAGAGCTTGAATGGGTCTCTAGCCTTTAAAGAAACAGTAGAAAGAGTCCTAAGTCAATTATTACATGTAAGTCAGGACCTCCAGGCCAGTGGTGTAATCAGTTTCTAGCTCTAAAATTTGTTGAATAGATACTGATGAACTCCAGTTAGAAAACCGGTAGGATAACTTAGATCAAGGTCAGTGACACCAACTAATTATGTAGCACACAATTGTTAATGTAAATTAGGTGTTTAAATGTGTATTTCTTTATTTAAAAAAATATTTAGGTGTATTAGTTAGGTTTGTCTAGTGATAATGCTCCATAACAAACAATTCCAAAATCTCAGTATCTTAAGGCAACTAACATTTATTTTACTATTACAGCTGTGGTTTGGCCATTTTCAGCTGGGTTTGGCTAGGCTAGACCCCAAGTTGACTTCAAGTTCAGGTCTGCTTTATGTTTTTTGTTCCAGGATGTGGGCTGAAGGAATAACATCTACCCAGAGGACCCTCTTTTCATAGCAGAGGGTGGAGAATAAAAGGCCAAGTCAGGCCAGGTGCGTGGCTCACACCTGTAATCCTAGCGCTTTGGGAGGCTGAGGCAGCCCGATCAGTTGAGGTCAGGAGTTCAAGACCAGCCTGGCCAACATGTTGAAACCTCATCTCTACAACAACAACAACTACAACCATATATATACACACACACACACACACACACACACACACACACACACACACACACACACATATAGAGCTGGGTGTGGTGGTAGATGCCTGTAGTCCAACCTACTTGGGAGACTGAGGCAGGAGAATTGCTTGAACCCAGGAGGCGGAGGTTGCAGTGAGCCAAGATGGAGCCACTGCTCCAGCCTGGGTGACAGAGTAAGACTCTGTCTCAAAAAAAAAAAGAAAAAAGATTAATAAATACATAAATAAAGGGCCAAGGCAAGCAAGCAAGTACATTTAGTCTTCATGTTCATAGGCTTGATTTACTCATTCCACAATGTATACCTGTTTCAAAACAGCATGTTGTACACCACAGATACATACAATTTCTTGTCAATTAAAAATAAATAAATAAAAATTATATATAAAAAAGAAGTCTCTGCTTGGACATTGCCCATGTCAGGTCTAGTCACATTCCATTGACCAGAGAATGTCCTTGGGCTGAGTCTCATCTGAGAAGAAGTGTATCAGTGCCTAGCAAAGTGGGAGGCACTGCACAAACAGCAGAGTGTGCATATGTAATTCTATTCAATGGGGAGTAAAGAATTGGAAATTATCACAAGGTGGAAATTCTTAAACATACCCTAGACAGAATGTCATAATAAACTCCAATGTACCCTATCACACAGCTATAACCATCACCTCATTATTAATCTTCTTTCACTCCCATATAATTTCGAAGCAAATTCTGGATATTATGTCTTTTAAAGGAAGAAAATGAATCTATATTTTTGAAGATGAGAGTTTATTTAGACCTTAAAGAGTTTACAAAACAATACAAAGGATTTACTACTAAGTCAACTTGATATAAAATAAGACACAAATACATATTCAATAACGTTAAGAAACAGTGGGCCGGGCGCAGTGGCTCACACCTGTAATCCCAACACTTTCGGAGGCTGAGGCAGGTGGATAACTTGAGGTCAGGAGTCCAAGACCAGCCTGGCCAACATAGGGAAACCTCATTTCTACTGGAAACACACACACACACACACACACACACACACACATAAATTAGCCAGGTCTGGTGGTGTGTGTCTGTAATCCCAGCTACTTGGGAGGCTGAGGCAGGAGAATCACTTGAACCCAGGAGGTGGAGGTTGCAGTAAGCCATGATCGCCCCACTGCACTCCAGCCTGGGCAACAGAGCAAGACTCCATCTCAGGAAAAAAAAAAAAAAAGAAACAGTCAATTCCAGGATGCTGTACATGGGTGTTTTACGCTGAATATTGATGAATTTTATACTTAACTTCCTGGTCTAGCTGAAATAATGAATACTACCAAAGATTAAAAGTAAATGCCCACTGTTTATCTAGTTCATTAATCTTAGTGACAAAAGTAAAAAAATAATTTGCAATAACAGAATTTTAAGATGCAAGCCAAAGTTACTTTGGACTAAGCTGTGGAGTAGAATTACATCGTTTTTGGCCAAAGCCTTGCTTTCTCAAGACACTTTACTTTCATCTTCGGGGACATCTTAAAAGACAACCACAAAATAAACTTCAAGTGAGTTACAAATGGCAAAGAAGAGCAAAACTTTAAAAAGTACCAAAATAAAATTGTCAGAGTGTGGTTAATAAAAGGAATCATCAGATCAATCTATTATCATGTCACTTTTGACTCATACTTAAAATAACATCTCAGTTTATGAAATGGCCAATAGAAATCCATTTTCTTTTTTTTTTTTTTTTTTTTTTTTCTGAGACAGAGCCTCACTCTTGTTGCCCAGGCTGGAGTGCAGTGGCGTGATCTCGGCTCACTGCCACCTCCACCTCCGGGGTTCAAGTGATTCTCCCTCCTCAGTCTCCTGAGTAGCTGGGATTACAGGCATGCACCACCACACTCGGCTAATTTTGGTATTTTAGTAGAGACAGGATTTCACCATGTTGGCCAGGCTGGTCTCCAACTCCTCGCCTCAAGTGATCCACCTGCCTCGGCCTCCCAAAGTGCTGGGATTACAGGTGTGAGCCACTGCGCCTGGCCAGAAATCCATTTTTAAAGTCATATGCATGATTTCTGTATTAAGTTGTTAGGGCTGCCATAACAAAATACCACAGAATGTGTGGCTTAAACAACAGAAACTTATTTTCTCACAGTTCTGGAGGCTAAAAGTTGAGACCAGGTTGTCAGCAGGTTTAGTTTCTTTTGAGGCCTCTTTCATTGGCCTGCAGATGGTTGCCGTCTCCTTGTGTCCTCATATGACTTTTTCTCTGTTCTCTTGCATCTCTGGTGTCTCTTTTTCTTATAAGAACACGAGTCATATAAATTAGGGCCTCAGTCTTATGACCTCATTTAACCCTTATTACCTCTTTACATTCATATTGGGGGTGCTAGTGTCAACGTGCAAATTTGGTAGAGACACAGTTCGGTCCATAACAATTATATCAACCAGTAAGTATTATTACAAGCTCTTAACAACTGATACCAATACTAAAAATAGCTAATTAGCTAACAACATAACTAATAGTTAACAGGCCATAAGATAGCACTGACTATGTGCTAGGATCCTTTCCATGTGCTTTACAAATATTCACTGCTTTAAAACTTAAAACAATCCTATCATGTTGGTATTATCAATTCCCCTGCCTTACAGATGAGAAAACTGAGGCTTGGAGAAGTTAAAGAAGTAGGCCAGGTGCAGGCCGGGCACAGTGGCTCACTCCTGTAATCCCAGCCCTTTGGGAGGCCGAGGCGGACGGATCACGAGGTCAGGAGTTCAAGACCAGCCTGACCAATATGGTGAAACTCCATCTCTACTAAAAATACAAAAATTAGCTGGGCATGGTGGCACATGCCTGTAGTCCCAGCTACTCAGGAGGCTGAGGCAGGAGAATCACTTGAACCCAGGAGGCAGAGGTTGCAGTGAGCCAAGATTTCACCACTGCACTCCAGCCTGGGTGACAGAGCAAGACTCCATCTCAAAAAAAAATAAAAATAAAAAAGAGTAGGCCAGGTGCAATGGATCACACCTGTAATCTCAGCACTTTGGGAGGCTGAGGTGAGCAGATCACTTGAGTCCAGGAGCTCAAGATCAGCCTAGGCAACATGGCAAAACCCCACATCTACCAAAAAATACAAAAATTAGCTGGGCGTGGTGGCATGCACCTGTAGTCCCAGCTACTCAGGAGGCTGAGGCAGGAGAATCTATTGAGCCCAGGAGGCAGAGGTTGCAGTGAGCTGAGATGGTGACACTGCACTCCAGCCTGGGTGACAGAGTGAAACTCCCATCTCAAAAAAAAAAAAAAAAAAAACAAGTAGAGATAGAGTAGCCAGTTAAATTAGGATGCCCAGTTAAATTTAGATTTCAGATCAACAATGAGTAAGCTTTTAGTATGTGTATATTCCAAATATTGCATATGACATGTCTATGCTAAAAAAGTAGAAGTTGCTGAAATTCAAATTTAACTGAGCATCCTGAATTTTTACTTTCTAAGTCTTATAACCCTAAGTTAGAGATAAGCTTTTTTTTAAATTATACTGGAGCAGTGAGTTTTAAATTGCTCAAGAGACCCTGGAATTTTCAAGAGCTATATTAGGAAATTGCTGACAGGGCAAAAGAGAAGATAAACATTGAGATTCTCCCTTTCAAATATAGCATCTCCTTTATAATATCTTTTTATATGTTACTGAGATTTGCTATGAATATTCACTTGAGAAAAATATTTCTTTGACTTTAAAAAATAAATGTGCAAACCTACTGTTTTTCAAGTAAAATTAACATAACTTCTGGATGTTTTGTTTTTTGTTTGGGGCATTTTTTCCCCCAAAATGGTACCTTTGTCTTTTCCAAATCTGATATATTCTAACTTTCTGTCTCCGTAAAGAATTCCCTAAGACTGGCTCATTTGCTTGGAGGACCCTCAAAGAGAGGTTTGCAAACTCTGGCCAATGGCCTACAGGCTTACTCTGTTTCTGTAAATAAAACTGTATTGGCATTGTCCATTAATTTACATGTTAGCTCTTGCTGTTTACACATTGCAGGGCAGTGTTGAATGGTTGTAACAGAGACCATGTGGCCCAGAATGCCAAAAAATATTTTCTATATTATTTCCAAAAAAAAAATCTGTCAACTCCTAATCCCTATGTATCTGCTTCTGATTGCTAAAAGAATGGCTTAGAAACAAGTTGTCACGAAGAATTTTTTTTTTTAAGTTTAAAAGAGGAGATCAACTGGGCAGATCGATTTTCTATGGTCACTTTTAACTGCTTTATGTCACTTGGAAAAATTGTCTTATAAAATAGCCAAGTTATCCAAAGTGTTCTTATTGAAGATAGAGTCACATGGGTTGTTGCTGGTAGTGATCTTTAATTCTGGAGAGATGAAAAAGACATGAAGCTTCTACTGAGACAAAGTCTATCAATATTTTTCTGCACTGATGACGACTCTTTTCAAAAGTGGACCTTGAAGCAGAAACCCGATAATTTCTTCCCTGTTTCCACATCACCCTCTTGTCAGTTCTCTTAACAAGTTACAGTGGTCTGCAATGTTAGAATTCCAGACAAGGCATTTAAGGCCACTGGACTCTTATAATAATCTACAAGGGTTTAGGTTGATAATCCCAAAATCAGCCCTGGAAACTTTAATAGAACTGCTGTGTCTTTGAAGTCATATCTTAGCGACATCTTAGTCTTCCTTCGTGGAAAGTTGTCCATAAACACATTATCCACCTCTTGACCCTGGAGAATCAGTTCATTATTGCCGCCTCATTTTGCATTTTAAGCAGTTATTTTCTGTAGCTCCCAGATTCTTCCTGAATCACCAATAGTCATAATTCTTCCAGGGCCATGAAGGACTCAGGAGAGTGAAACCACTTAGAAAAATGTTCCTCTCTGAAAGTTGAACTCTACATACTTAGTACTATAAAAATCACACTGTCAATCTAGCTGGTACGCATATCAGTAATATTATAATTTCTTGCATTTTTCTTATTTACACTTTCTTGTGATGTGGATCATGTATGATTTTTTAAAATTTAGAGTGTCCAAAAAATTAAAAACATATTTTAAAAGAAAGATGCTATAACATAAAGAACCACATGAAAAAACAGGCGTACAGTCATATCATAGAAACGTCAACTTTTCCATGATTATCATGGTTCAGATTTTTTCCCTTGAAACCGAAGAGCCACATTAATAGTATGTTTCAAAAACATATTTATTATAAATGACAAGACAATCTCTTTACATATTTATAATGTCTACATCATTTATATCTATTTATGATAATAGAAACATATTTGTCCTAGTCTCTTCTGCATTGCTGTAAGAGAATACCTGAGGCTGAGTAATTCATAAGGAAAAAAGGTTTATTTGGCTCCTGGTTCTTGCAGGCTGTACAAGAAGCATGGCACTGGCATCTGCATCCAGTGAGAGGCTTATGGTCATGGTAGAAGGTGAAGGGGGAGCAAATGTGTCCCGTGGTGAGAGAGGGAGCAAGAGAGGGAGAAGGATGCCATGCTCTTTTAAACAACCAGCTTCCACGTGAACTAATGGAGTGAAAATTCACTTATTACCTCTGGGAAAGCACCAAACCATTCATGAGGGATCTGCTTCCATGACCCAAATACCTCGCACCAGGCCCGACCTCCAACACGGAAGACCAAATTTCAACATGAGATTTGGAAGGCACGCATATCCAAACTATATTAACATTAGAAACCACCTCCTTAGGAATGAGACATCCCTTTGGTGCAAACAAGGATCAATCAGTCATTTTAGAGACTTTTTGAATGTGTAAAAACTGTTTGGGTGGTTAGGGAAGGCAATGTGCACTATCTTATTTGATTGAGGTTATCCACAGTAACCTCGGCAGTGTCTGGCGTTTGGTGATTCATTTGAGACTGGTGTTGGTCCTGAGATGCCTCTTGACGATGAAGCAAGTTGATGTATGTCTAGGGCTTAAAGAATAATTGGCCAGGCGCAGTGGCTCACACCTGTAATCCCAGCACTTTGGGAGGCCGAGGCGGGCAGATCACGAGGTCAGGAGATCGAGACCATCCTGGCTAACATGGTGAAATCCCGTCTCTACTAAAAAAAAAAAAAATTAGCCAGGCGTCGTGGCAGGCGCCTGTAGTCCCAGCTACTCAGGAGGCTGAGGCAGGAGAATGGCGTGAGGCCGGGAGGCGGAGCTCGCAGTGAGCCGAGATCGCGCCACTGCACTCCAGCCTGGGCGACAGAGCGAGACTCCGTCTGAAAATAAATAAATAAAATAAAGTAAAATAAAGAATAATTTCCCCTAAGGACCTCAATAAGAGGCACCTGAATTTCCAGGTAGAAGCTGGGAAGAAGTCGTCCCAGGGGATATTGGGAGGCTGAGTGTTTTTTCAGACAGAATGAACCTTCACTTTCTTTCTGTAACAGTCATGACAAGAAATAATTGGCTTGTGAGAATCAACATTGAAGCTGGAAAAATGATGGCATCCGAACAAGTAGACACAGCCCTAGTCAAGGCAATAAACTACACTAAAGACAGAGGAGAAAGACTCAAAGTTGTTCTAACATGTGAGTACCTAGGGGTGCTGCATGCCGTTGTGTGGTTTGTGTACTGCATAGTTGTACTCAGCCAAGGAAGTGGATGAGGCCACAGCTTTAACATGGGCTGCTGTCTGCCCAGAAGGATAATCTTTTCCTTATTTTATATCTCATTTCAGGGGTTCTCCAACTTCTGAAATCCATCCAGAAACTCCCTGTATTTGGGTAACAGTATTATAACTTTTTGCACCAGGGCTTTTTTGTTTGTTTGTTAATATTAATTGATTTTTCTTATGTTCTTTATGAAAGAATAACTCATCCATTAATGAAACCAAATGTGAACTTAGTGCCTTCTGTGTAGAAAAGGCTAGGAATACATATTGTGGGAGATTCATTACATCACTGGCCTTAATACTACACCTTCTCATGTTCCCCCTTGGCTGTGTAACTTTCTAGTGTCCATATGCTCTCTCTTGGGGTGGCCAGTGTGACTTGCTTTGGCCAATGGGATATTAGCAACCATGACATAACCCGAGGCTTATAAAGTTGCCTGCTCATTGGGACTTGTTTCACTGTTGCATCCCAGTTATTCACATCACTCCAGCTGACAGCCAACCAACAAACAGCCAGACACGTGAGCCCAACCAAGATCAGAAGAACTGTCCCACTGAGCATAGTCTAAATTGCTAACATGCAAATGCATGGTAAGCGCTACTTGTTTATGGCATTGAGGTTTTCTTGGTTATTTGTTACACAGCTTTATTGTGGCAGTAGATAACTGATACTGATACACGTGGTGAACATGACAGATAAGCTCTCTGTTCTCCCAGGCTTACATTTTAATGGGGAAACAAGATAATAAATGAACAAATAAAGGAACAAATGAACTAGAAAAAATAGCTGGGGTAAGTGATATCACAGAATTACATCAAAACAGGAGAGGGGTGGTAGAATTAGTTAGGGCCTACACAATGGCTTTACTTTTGATGCTGAAGGATGATCTTAATTAGTTTAAGATCTGAATGAGAAGAGTCAGCCAGGCAAAGACCAGTGAAAGTAACAATCTAGACAAAAGGACTAGCTAGTGCCAAGGTCCTAAAAAGGGAATGAACTTGGAGAATTCTAGAAACAGAGAAAGCCACTAGGCTTGTGGTGTAGGGAGTGAGGCAAAGAGGAGCAGCACAAGATCAGATCAGAAAGGAAGACAGGATAAGATCAGAGAAGAAGACAGGCCAGATTACACAAGGTTTGTAAGCCAAACAAGGAGATTAGAGTACCCACCAGAGATGGCCTTTATGTACACACCATAGATGGCCTTTGCATTCCCACCAGAGATGGAGTTTGATGTCTTTTGTCTCAGGCCTGGGTCAGAGCACAAAGCAGCAATAACAGAGAAGCAAAAGAGACATTGTTGGAAGAAAACAATCCCATTCCTGGCTTCTGTAAATGGAATAGGAGGGGACACAGAGGCAGATTCCTGGGGATGGAAGAATGGGAAGGAGGGGAAGAGGGAGGAGATTCCCCTAGACTGGGCAGCAAAGGGAGGTCAGAAGGTCTGCCCCTCCAGAAGAGGCCAAGGCAGAGCCTTCAGGAGGGACAGGAACTCCTGGGGCACCTGCAAGGACACCTAGGATACCTTCTCTAGGCACTGCAGCCCTGGCCTTGGCAGGTGTACTTTGTCTAGAAATTGCAGGGAGCCTCCATGGTCTCAGTTTCCAAGCACCATGGAAACTTCCCAAGATGCCATTCATTGTGACTCTGGCTCAGACAATGGGCATATTAGGGAAGCCAATGTGCACCATCTTATTTGATTGATATTATCCACAGTAACCTCAGCAATGGCTGGTGTTTCGTGATTCAGCCTGTGTGGAATAAGGAAGGGAGAGGCCTTGCCAAATATTTCTGTGCCCGAGACCTCCCCTCCTCTGTAGCCAGAGTTGCCATGACCTTGTAGCTGAGGCTGGGGCTCAGAGCCCCAATTCTGACTCAAAAGAGTGTCCAGGAACCCAATGCCATGAGGCTCAAGGTCAAGTAATTTGATTTTTAAGAAAATTAAGAAATGTGCCCTCTTCATCTCAAAAACACTATGTTGAGTGAAAGAAATCAGACACTTAAATGATATTCAAGAACAGGAAAAACTCACCTATGATGATAAAAATCAGAACAATGGTTTCCTCTGAGGGTTGAGGCAGGGGCCGAGTGACTGGTAGGGGCATGAGGAAACTTCGGGGGTGATAGAAATGTCATTCTCTTGAGCCACATGAAGCTTTCAGGTCTTGAGCTAAATGTCACCACCAAACTGTACACTTAAGATTTGTCCATTTCACCGTATGTAAATTTTGCTGCTATAAAGTATTGACTTGAGTCTCCTGTGGCAAGGAAGGAAGGAAGGAAGGATGGAAGGAAGGAAGGAAAGAAGGATGGAAGGAAGGGAGAAACAGAGGAATGAAGGCAGGAAAGGAGAAGGAAATAAAGGTGCACGTGTTGCAGATCCCAGGCTGTCACCCATTGCACACTTTCCACCTGTTTTTTCCACAAAATAAGCACCTAGTTTGTGAGAGGTTGTGCCAAGCATCTAGTCTGTGCCAAGTGGCCAGAGAGAAAAAATATGTAAACAAAGGGTAAGCATACAAAGCTCAGACCTGGGCAGTATTAGTTCTATCCAAGGGTGAAGGAGACAAGCTCTCAGAAAGATTTAAAGGGGAGAGAAAGGGTCATGAGGGCTGGAGGGATGGGGATTCTCTGAGATCTGAATTCACCTTGCACTTCTTTTTCTTTTTGAGAAACAGACCACAGCAAGGTAATCTTACAGCCCAGGACTCAGCTGCTGCAATCTCTGTGAAAGGTACTTATGACTAATGCTGATGCCACCATGAAGCTCAGGAAACAATTTACAGGGACATGGGCTGTTCTGAGACCCCACAGCCATGAATCGCCTAATCATTCTGACAGATTTCTGCAGATGCTGTGCTCAGGTCACTGAGTTTCCCAGTTGTCAGTGGTGAACTGGAGCGGAGGCAGAAGGAAACTCTTCAGACACACTGTTCCCTTCAGGAAACAAGGGACAAAAGGGCTGCCCTGAGGAGACTTGGGAAAGTGACATTTCCTCAGGCTCGAGGACATCCCGAGGTGACTTTCCAAAACACTGGGTTAAATTGGCCTGATTGTTTATTTTCCTCAGCTCGCTTTAGAAAAAAAAAAAGTCCATCTGTCCTTTGATATCAATAAAAAGAGCATTTGAGACTATTAAAAACACTGATGGAGATTTGTTTGGGAGAACGGAAAATCGTGCCACCATTGAAAATGGCAACACACACAACCTTCCATATGGCCATTTCTCTGCCTCAGTACTTCCAGGCTGAATTTCTTGTCAGCTCCAGCTTCTCGCCATTTTGTTCTCAGGGAAAAAAACTCAGGAACTATCCATTCCCATGTATTTAAATGAAAACTTCCCAAGATGCCATTCATCTTGAGTCTGGAAGCAAAATGTAAACATGTTTCATAAGGAGTATTTTGCCGACACCCTATAATCTGGTTTATGACACTGCTTTGTCAAGAGGCAAAGGTTTATTCCCTCCTTTTCAAATGAATTGGAGATGTTCTAAGTCAGTGGTTCTTGAAATGTGGTCCCTGGACCAGCAGCAACAGCATCACCAGGGAACTTGTTACAAGTGCAAATTCTCAGCCAGGGGCAGTGACACGCAGCATAGCAAGACCCTGTCTCAAAAAAAAAAAAAAGAAAGAAAGAAAAGAAAATCCTCTGACTGCAGCCTAGACCTACATAATCAAAAACCCTAGGGGTGTGCCCAGTAATCTGTGTTTTAGCAAGTTCTCTAATGCAGTTTTGAAGAACCAAGAAGCTAGGCTCTCTCAGTTCAGGATTGAATTCAGCCTCGATTAAAAACTTTCAAAATAACAGTGACTTAAACAAAGCAGAAGTTCATTTCTCTAACACATAAAAGAAGTCCAAAGGTAGATGTTCAGGGCTAGTATGAAGGCTCCATGGTGACAGAGGAAACCTAAGTTTTTTCTATTTTTCTGCTCTGCTATCCTTTGTGTATGGTTTTTTATTTCAAGCTGGCTTCATGGTTCAAAATGGCTACAGGAGCTCCAACCATTACTTCTCTGTTCCAGGCAGAAAGCAGAAGTTGGGGGATAGAGCAAGCAAGTAGGGTCTACTCCTGCTGTTTGTGTCCCTCTGCAGGAATTTTCTCAACAGTCTCACCTAACAATTCCATTTATATTTTTGGCCACCTATAGCTGTTAAGAGAAGCTTAGAAATACGGTCTTTTATCTTAAATTAAAATTGTCATTACTGATAGGTAACTCACTTTCTCTGCCACCATGATTCCAGACCCTCTTCCATATAAATAAACATAATTCCAAATACAAAGCGAGGTTAAACTCTTCTATCCCAAGGAAATATCAAACATGAGTATGACTACATTTTTAGTAATTTTATGAAAGAATAGTAAATGATATATTGAGAATCTCATAAATGATCTTATTTAAACTTTCCATTTCACAAATGAACAAACTGTGGCCCAGAGAGGGAGATTTTCATGTCCGTAAGAGCTGGTGAGAAACAGACCGGGGTGCTAGAACCTGAAGGAGCTAGGAATAAATCCAAAGCTTCCTGAAATGTATGCCAAAGCAGTCGTCTCATAGGAGACTCCATGGACAAAAATCTCCATGATCAAGTGTTGTCAGTTAACATTACAAAGAACTTGGAGCCCATTAAGATTAAATTTTTTAAAAAAACAGGCTGTTCTTCATACTCAACACACAGACTATTTATCACTTAAAGTGAGTTCTTAGAACATTAAAAGTAAAATGGTTGTATCAGAATAAATTTTATTGCAAATTCTCAGGACTTATTTCAGAACTCCTGAAACCTACTTTGATGATTTCAGGTTCTGCTCATGAAACAGAGACAACCATGTGTGGTGCCTGCATTCTTGGCCTGCGGGGAGTGGAAAGGAGACAAAGAGTAAAACACGGTGGGAAAGAAGAAAAAGAGGTTAAGAAAAGCAAATGTGCCTACTCCAGGTAATTTTGACTTAGGGACCCTGATTAACTTACACACTAATTAAACCATTTCCAGATTTTGTGCAGTCTGAAAGCAGCCCATTTTCCCCAACACCAGGTCGCTCAAGATGACCACAGGAAGGTTGTCATCTTCATGTCTAAAAGCCAGTTGACACTCAAGGGTGTCATTTCACTTCAGTGAAATGAGAAGCTTCACAGATGTGTAGACTCTGAAAAATCTAACTGGAAAACAATACAGGGAAATAGCAATACTAGGCATCAAAGCAGCAAAAAAACTACTCAATTATCTGATATGGGGATTATCAATGGAATAAATGTGGGGTTTGTTGTTTGTTGTTGGGATTGTTGTGGGTTTTGTTTCATTTTTTAGGGTCTCACTTTTCTCCACCAATTAGATCTGTGCTGTGAGCCACACAGGTTTTGAGTACATGTTTTGGGACTTTATATCGGTCAGACTTTGCCATGGTAACACTGTGTAACGAGCAGCCCCAAAAATCTCAGTGGTGGTCAAAAGCAAACCTTTATTTCTCATTCATGGGTTTTCAGTTTGTTCAGGCTAAAAGTAAAATACACAGATTCTTCACCTGTCTTTCATTCCATGCTGAAGGAGCAATTGACTGCCTGGGACATACTTTTCTCATAACAGAGGCAAGGGTGAAAAACACCAAGTCATCTTGATTATGCAATCCCATTTTTAATGTAAACAATGTCATGTCTGCTTCTATTTCATTGAGCAAAGCAAGTCATATAGGCAAGCCCAACATCAGTGGGGTGATAAAGCACACTCTCCAATGGAAGGAGGAGGGGAGCATGATCATTTGCTGAACAGTAATGCAAGATAGCACAAGACTTGTCTGGGGTGAGAGAGAGATCAAAGCTGTGGATCCCACCCAGTCTTCAACCAAAGCAATGTGGCTTTGACCTGTTTTCTGTCTTGGACTTGAATAATACTTTATTTGAAAGAAGTGTTAAATTGTTTATTAAAAAAAAAGACAAGTTTGAAAACCACTGTTTCCAAGTCGCTTATTTTGCCAATAAAGAATCTGGGGTCAAAGGGTAAATGCCTTGCTGATTGTATCTGTCTCAGGACCAGGGCTATGAGATTTAAAGTCAACCAGATCTGGATTTTCAAACCTAGCTCTACCATGTTTTAGCGGAGACACTCTGGACATGTTCACTATCCTTTCATCATCACAGGCAAGGGTCTGTCCAGTGCCCTAAGTCCTAGGGCTCTCCAGTTGCTAACCACACTGAAGGGATGAAATGTATGAGTGGGCCCTCCACTGGTGTGATCTGTAATCAGAATGGGAAAGACTCTCTTTGCTCCACCATGTCCGTGGGATGAGATGGAAAAGTGCACCATTCCTGGTGGTGATGCTTCTATTTAAAATACTGCTAAACTGAGTTTCCTTCCTTGCTCTTCTCTCTCCCTTTCTTTGACAAACCTATGCATGACTCGAGTATACAGCTATCTCCCCTAGTGGAGCACAGGCTTTTTGGAGGATAAGGGTCACTCTTTCCATGTTTATTTCTTCCCACGCCTACACCTCACACCTCATTCCAACTCCACAGCACAATAACCATCCTATCTTCACAGCAGCAGAGATTATGTAAATGGTTATAAATTAAATAATATGTTTTCTTCTCCATGACCCTAGTGTAGCATTTTGGAGAAGACATGGCTTCAGGAATGATTTCCCAGAAATTTTGAAGGTCCTTAAAACTAAAGAAGAAAGTCCTGTGATATCTGCAAAGGCTCATTTGCAGAAACTGGCCCAGCCCAAGTGTACAGAAACAAAGAAATGCTACAGCCAGTCAAAACCATTTGGCTCACTGGTTCTTATTTCAAATCAGCAGAATAAACAAACTGCAGTCCAAGTAGGAACTGGTTCTGCTGTCCTCTTCTTTTAAGCCAAGGCACAATGTTTGAATGTTTCAGAAGTTTCTTTCTAATGGGTTTCCTTTTATTGTCTGTGCCAGATGGCCAATGGATCCTAGGCTAGTAAATCAATATGCTCACTTTAAACTCTGACTTCATTTGTTTAGTACTTTCCTGGCATCACTTGTGCATATTATAGGAAGAAAGGTGTGGCTATTGCATTGTTCTATAATAAATCCAGCTGTGTTTTACCCATATTTCTACTCTAAACATTATGACTTCTGGTTATGCACAAGTTGACAATAAGAGCAGGGTGTATGTATACATACATCCCCCATCCACCCAGCACTCCTGGTAAGTAACCAAATCCATCCTCCACCCTGAAATTCAACAACCTGGTAGTTAAAAAGAATTCTTTGAGGCACAATGAAAGACTCATGTCCACACTCTTGTTCTAAGAATTCGTAAGCTGGGATACATTTTACTTTTCTACATCCAGCTCCCTTTTTATATGTGCTTTTCTAAGACCAGGACAATTGATCAAACTATTTATCATGAAAGAGCTCTTCTCACTCTACACATTTCAATTTCACAATATAAAAAAGAAAGAGGTAAAATCGCCAGGGAGTCTTCAACTCATATTGTCACTGAAAGTGTGGGGATTATTCAGACAGACTGCCCCAAACTGGACAACACAGTGATGTCATCCAAGAGAGCCTCATATCTGAACAGACTTGTATTTTTAAGTAGTCAAGGAAAAAGCCTAATCAATAAGAATGAACTTCAAATATGTCCACCATCAGAAAAGCAGGAGACATACAAATATCCAGAACATAATTCTGGAGGTAAGATGGCAGAAGACAGGAGAGCCTGCATAACTGAGCCTTCTGCTCCAGCTGGTGAGGGTCATCTCTTAGCTTTCCTTACAGATTCAAGATGGTGGACTGAGGGTCAACCTCGTAAGGAGAATCATTTTAGAGGAGTGTTTCACTCCATACTTGGCCTTCACATTCCAGCCCAGACATCCCCTTCTTTCTGAAGACTTTCCCTCCTATGTTGGATCTACGAACCTTGCATATGTTCCTGTTGCAGTACTAATCACATAGCACAGTCATTTTTCATGTATACGATTGTCTCTTCTACTAGGTTCTGATCTCCTTGACAGTAAGGACAATGCCAACCTGCCCAAAGAACTTAGCACCATGCCTATTGCTTAGTATAAAATTCTGGGGTGTTCAAGCAGCTCACATCACCTAGTGTCAGTAGATTTCTTTTTCCTTTTGCAACAGTGAAAACCGGGAATCAGCAACTGTAATCTCTTCTAAGGATTTAGAATCAAGAAAATATAGACAAAATTCATCAATGGCTGATTCTATGGAACTGAGGTACTAGTTTACTTGCTTCTTCCTAGCCTAGCCTAATCTCACCCTTTCCCCAACCCCCCTCCCCCATAGCCACAGGTAACAGGTAGGCTCACCTGTCAATGTTCATAGCTCATTGGACTAGCATGGTCATTTAACACACAAGATAGAAAAAATTTGATTATATAATTCAGGATTTTGAATGAAGAAGCCTATAATTTGGTCATGCAGCCTCAAGATGAAACAGCCATTTATTTTTTTATGGCCACAAAGGTTGAAGGATGATTATAGAGAGAACTGGGATGATAAAGCTGTCACATAGAGAGAAGCAGAAAATCGTCTGGTCCATGTGTCTCCAGAGAAGTACAGACAGAGAGAGAGAGATAGAGAGAGAGAAGGGAATACCCAGAGTTTTCTTTTTCTCAATTCTTGTCCAATAGGAAGCTGGTTATTCTCATATCATTGAATTCCATATTACTCCCTTCCACTATATATTCAATATTTATTTTAGCTTATTTACATGGGTCTTAGTTTCCCATACAAACTAAATTATTCCTAACTAAGGCATTGTAAAAGATAGCATTCAACCTTGACCTAATGTATTCATTATTGGTATATACCCATAAATTGGGGCTTGATTAATTATGTTCTGAGCAGTAGAAATTCTCCCTGCAAGGGCTGCTTATGAATAAACCCTTGATTAAAGATCATTTATTCTGCATCATATTGTTTGCAATGTAAAGGTCACCAATTTTTTAGTCAAACTACTCTAGGTTATAATCCCAGCTGTGCTTAGTTAGTAACTAAGTCAATTTTAGAAAGTTATATAACCTCACTCTGCTTTATTTAAAAAAAAATGTTACTTCTACTATGGAAAATTTCAAAAATGCCCAGAAGTAGAGAGAATAATATAAGAAAAACCTAGATATACATCACCCATCCATAATAATTATTAGCATAATCTCAATGTAATCATGAAAAAAAAAATCAAGCAAGTGCAAATTGAGGGAGAGTCTACAAAAGAAATAATGAGTGCTCTTCAAAAGTGTCAGGGACACAAAAGTCAGGAAAGGCCAAGGGACTGTCACAGATCAGAGTAGCCCAAGGGGACATGAGAAGTAAACGCAACGTGGGAGGACCATGGGTTGGATTCTGAAAAAGAAAAATGACATTCGTAGGAAGAAAAGGTGAAATTAGATAACATGTCTAGGTCAGTTAATAGTGCTACCTTGTTAATTTCCTGGTTTTGATTATTGTACCATGGTTATGTAAGACATCACATTAGGGGAAACTAGGCAGTGTGTATTTGGGCCCTCTGTGCTTAAAAAAAGTACAACTTCTCTGTAACTCTCAAAGTGTTTCAAAGTTTCAAAAAAAAAGCTTTTAAAATAATATTTATCAACATTCTGCCATTCTTGTTTCATCTACTCCTCCTACTCTCTTTTTTGTTTCTTTTCTCAAGTATCTTAAAGCAAATCAGACAGGATATAATTTCACCATTTGTTCTCTGACTGATAAGGACTCTGTTTTATAGCTTAGTAACAGGACCACACCTAACAAAATGGGCAACAGTTCCTTAATACCTAATACTCAGTTTATGTTCCATTTTACCAAATGTCTCAGCAATGTCTACTGATGGGTTTTTTGGTTAAATCAGATTTTAAACAAAATCCGATATTGTAGTTTGATATGTCCCTTAAGTCTCTTCATCTATAACAGTTTCTGCCCCTCCTCCTTTTTTTCATGCCATTCTTTTTATAAAAGAAACTGGGTCATTTTTCCTGTAGAATTTCTCACATTTTGCTCTGATGGTTGTAAGCTTGTGGTTCAGAGTTTTATTATATGAGATGGGGACAATAACACTCATAGCTAAGAGAACTTTTATAAGGCTTACTTGAGAAAATGTATGAAAATAAAGGTCTAGAGTTTAGCAAATGTTCATCTCCAGGCCCTACTCAGCACTTCATCCTCCAATCCTTTCTGCAGGCTTGTAATGTATTTGGTTTTGAACAGTCACCATTTATTTAACACAAAGTTATCAGCAGACTCATTTGCAGAGAACACCCACTAAGGCCAGCAGATAAGTTTTCACAAATGATATATAATAAAGATCTGATTCTAGAAAGAGACAAATAAAATTGTATGCAACCTCTAAAAGTGACCGTGTAACCCCACTACTCAAGGTGTGGTCTGTGGACAAGCAGCAGCTCATCCTCTGGAAGCTTGTTAGAAATGTAGCATCTTGGGCCCCTTCCCAGAAGTGCTGAATCAGAATATGCATCTTCACAAGATTTTCCAAGATATTTGGGTACACATTATAGATTGAGAAACGCTGATCTTTAGAGCACTAAATGTGGGTTTTAGTTTAGAAATTGGGGATTCCCTTCCTTCACCCCAGGAGAGAAGATTCTGGTCTCAAACCCTGGTAGCCTTAGAAAATCTTGTCTCCCTGCCCTCAATTTCTGTCTCTCTACATTTCATTAAGGAGCTGGACAGTTGTACTTCTATGCGAAAAGGGCAGCAGGAAGTGAATCACTTCTTTCCTTTCCTTCTCCACTGACTCTGTCAGAGGTGTTTGAACCAGAGCAACTCCATCTTGAATCAGATCTGGGTAAAATAAGGCTGACACTTACTGAGCTGCATTCCCAGATGGTTAGGCATTCTAAGTCACAGGATGAGATAGGAAGCCAGCACAAGACATAGGTCTTAAAGACCTTGCTGATGAAAGGTTGCAGTAAAGAAGCCGGCTAAAACCCACCAAAGCCAAGATGGCCACGAGAGTGACCTGTGGTTGTCCTCACTGCTACACTCCCACCAGCATCATGACAGTTTACAAATGCCATGGCAATGTCAGGAAGTTACCCTATATGGTCTAAAAAGAAGAGGCATGAGTAATCCACCCTTTGTTTAGCATAATCAAGAAATAACCATAAAAATGGGCAAGAACCCCCTCTTGGGGTGTGGATCCGGACCCTTTTCCAGTAACAACTCCTCAGAAAAAGTATTGAGAAAGAGATAGGATTTCTTAGGGTTTCTTAGGCAGCATTTGGGTAAATGATCCATGTATTTGCACATTCCTCAGCTATATATATACAAGGAAGGGCTTTCAAAAATCCTTGAAGATAAGCTGCCATTTTGCCTGTAAGTTTTACTCACTTCCAAGCTTCTGAAACCAAAAATAAAATTCTAAGCCCCTCAACTGACTGAATGGACCTCCCTCTCAGCCAAGGGGGATTCCAGAGAAACCTGAAAAACTAATGCAGGCCATGATGGGAGGGGGGATTCAGACATGCTTCATTGTACCCTCTCCCTTTTGGAGTTCAGGGACAATTCTCCAGCTTTAACCTTAAAACAGAGCTTAAGACTGACAAAACAGATTCTCCTTTTTTTTTTTTTTTTTTTTTTTTTTTGAGGCAGGGTCTGCTCTATTGCCCAGGCTATGGTTCAATGGCACAACCACAGTTCACTGCTGCTTTGACCTCCTGGGTTCAAGCAATCCTCCTACTTCAGCCTGCCAAGTAGCTGGGACCATGGGCATGTGCCACCACAACTGGTTAAGTTTTAATTTTTTGTAGAGACAGGATCTCACTACAATGCCAGGGCTAACTCCTTGGGCTTAAGCAATCCTCCCTCCTTGGCCTCTCAAAGTGTGTGAGCCACTGCACCTGGCCGAAACAGACTCTATGTAGCAATAAGAGACCAAATTCCAACCTGACTCTAGTATAACATCACAGGACAGATAAAGAAGGAAATCAAAATGTGTTTCTTTGGCATATTTTAAAATAGCCTTCAAAGCCAACTTTTGTGGGGGAAAATTTGCATCTGTAAAGAATCTCCATTAAAATAAGGAGAACTTTCCCTTTCCAGATCCCTCCCAGTCCTAAAGAGATTAACTGAGATTCTAGCTCCTCTTAAAGATCTAAATAGGAAACATTTACCCCATCAATTGTCTCTAAGGGCAGCCACCTATGAGACTTCATCTACATAATAATAACCTCAGTCTCCACAATCCCTTATCCTTTCCTAGACACTCTGTTCTATCGATTTCAGGTCTCTTTAGATAATAACTTAATTCTTTCAACTAATGAATTGCCAATCAGAACTCCCCTCCCTTCAAGTTGTCTCCCTCCTTCAAGTCGTCCCACCTTTCTGGACCAATGTATACCTCACATGTATCTATTGATACCTTATGTCTCCCTAAAGCATATAAAACCAAGCTGTAACCCAAACATGTTGGGCACATTTTCTCAGGACCTCATGAGACTGTGCCTTGGGCCACAGTTATCATATTTGGCTCAGATTGAGAGTTTGGCTTTTTTCATTGACACTATGACCACACTATAGAAGGGAGACATTCTTGCTTTGGGTTAAAGAGATGCTTCCAAATGGGACATCTCAGGTAACCTTGGAGGGTTTGCAGTGAGCATGGGCCACTGTGGCCCCACAATGACAGCTGCCTCCCAGGGGAGGAGTGGAGTGTTTCCATTACACTTGAGTGCATCAGTCCACAAACACTTTTGATTTTAGAGAAATTCGATTTTTTTGTAACATGCAGTCATATTAAACACATATGAGGAATTTTCATCTTGCCTCAGAATCCATGGTAGAACTGGTATCTGAACTTAAAGCCAGACCAATTTAATGGCTCTGGGTATTATGGCTAAAAAACAAACAAAAACAACAACAAAAACCAAATACCAACAGCAGCAACAACAAATGCTTTTAATTGTACAAAGAGAAGAACACATCTGAGTGTTTTTAAGTAAGTCACAGACACTATATCTTTCCACCTATAATCATTTAAACATGTATCTGTAACACATTATTTTTAAAACATAACCAAAATAATAGTTTTATACCAAAAAGAACTCACAACAATTCTTAGTACCAGTAACAATATTTAGTACCAGTTCATGTTCAACTTCCCCAGTTTTCTCAAATTATTTTCTTTTTACAGTTGGTTCACAAGTTATAAGTCATGTATTATATAATGGTCCCTATCTTTTTTTTTTTTTTTTAGACAGTTTCGCTCCATTGCCCAGGCCGGAGTGCAGTGATGCCATCTCAGCTCACTGCAAATTCTGCCTCCCAGGCTCAAGCAATTTTCATGCCTCAGCCTCCCAAGTAGCTGGGATTACAGACATGCACCACCACACCCAGCTAATTTTTGCATTTTTAGTAGAGACGGGGTTTCACCATGTTGGCCAGGCTGGTCTCGAACTCCTGGCCTCATGCAATCTGCCCACCTTGGCCTCCCAAAATGCTGGATTACAGGCATGAGCCACCACGCCCAGCCCCTATCCATTTTTAAACGCCATTTATGTGTTGAAGAAATAACACATAAATTTGCCCTGTAGTATTTCCCTAATTCTGGATATGGCTGATGATTTCCTTGTCATATGTTGTGACATACTTCTCTATTTCTGTATTTCTCATAAATGGTTAGTTAGATATTATGTGATTTTAAGTTAATATCAGGCAACACAATGTTCTTGTACTTAGGGGCTACTATGAACTGAAAGTTTGTATCCCCACTAATCCCCATCAAATTAATACGTTGAAATCTTAACCCCCAATGTGGTGATATTAGATGGTGGGGCCTTTGGGAGGTGTTTGGGTCATGAGGACCCAGCCCTCATGAATTGATTAGTGCCTATATAAAAGAGACACCAAAGAGTTGCCTCATCCTCTCTCTGCTACTTTAGGGACACAAAGAAAAGTCAGCAGTCCCAGAAGAGGGCTCCCACCAGAATCCTAACATGTTAGCACTCTGCTCTCAGACTTCCAATATCCAGAACCATGAGAAATAAATTTCTGTTGTTCATAAGCCACTCAGTTTCCAGAACCATGAGAAATAAATTTCTGTTGTTCATAAGCCACCCAGTAGGTGGTACTTTGTTATAGCAGCCCAAACTAAGACAAGACAGGGGCTGCCTGGGAAGGATGCAAGGAAATGAGCATGGCTTTGAGGCTCCACAGAACCCACTCTGCTCAGCTCTGTAATTAGGCTCCACCTGTCACTTGAAGTCAACCATGCCATGATTTCTCACTTTATGCTTCTATTCCTCATAGCAAGTGGTGAGTACGCAAGAGGTTACCATGAAGATTTGACATTTGCAAAGCACTGATCTAGCATACAGTTGGTACTGTATAAACGTTTATTTTTCTTTTCCTCTCTTAGTCTCACATTTCTTGATGGTTAACTGAAATGACTAGAGTGCATGGCCTAAAATTCCTCTCCAGCTAGGAAATGCCATGACCTTTGCTAGATTTTAGCATCAGGGACTGGGTCAGTCAAATTGGCATGGAAGAAAACCCACTGCTTACACTTTCTTTCCAATATAAGAGGCTTAAAAGTTATTTTGAATTATTTTTTCATTCTACAAATGTTCACTTGTCCCCAACTGTGTGCAGAGACATCCCCCTGGGGGCATACAAAGATAATTGAGACAGTTCTTCCACTCAGTCAGCTCACAGTTTGGGAGTCGGGGAGGAAATGAACATACAAGTTAAAGAAACTATGTTAGGCTGTGTGCAGAGGCTCATGCTTGTAATCCCAGCACTTTGGGAGGCCGAGGCAGGTGGACTGCTTGAGGTCAGGAGTTCGAGACCATCCTGGCCAACGTGGCGAAACCCTGTCTCTACTAAAAATACAAAAATTAGCCGGGCATGGTGGCACACATGCCTGTAATCCCAACTACTCTGGAGGCTGAGGCACAAGAATGGCTTAAACCCAGGAGGCAGAGGTTGTAGTGAGCCGAGATCGAGTCACTGCATTCCAGCCTAGGCGACAGAGTAAGACCCTGTCTCAAAAACAAACAAACAAACAAAAACAAACAAACAAAAACGCACCTCCCTCGGACCTCTAGTATAGCTTTTTTTTTTTTTTTTTGACAGAGTTTCACTCTGGTTGCCCAGGCTAGAGTTCAATGGCATGATCTCGTCACTGCAACCTCTGACTCCCAGGTTCAAGCTATCCTCCAGCCTCAGACTCCCACATAGCTGAGATTACAGGCACGCACCACCACGCCTGGCTAATTTTGTATTTTTAGTAGATACAAGGTTTCACTATGTTGGTCAGGCTGGTCTCAAACTCATGACCTCAAATGATCCACCCACCTTGGCCTCCCAAAGTGCTGGGATTACAGGCATGAGCTACCGTGCCCGGTCGGGAGGTACGTTCTTTAGAAGAGCAATATAGAAAACAAAGACAACATCAACATTCAGCTTGTGTTTGAGTAACTCTTCTGTCAGTGGGGGTGGGTTTGGGCTAGTCATGAATTATTAGGAAATACTCAACAGATAGAAATAAGAGATTGGGACCAAAGGACACTGTGTTTGGGACGAGGCCGGCATACTCTCATTGCCAACCAGGGGAGTTCATGAGAATGCTGCCTCCAAGGCTAGCTTCATAGAAGACAGCATTGAAAAAGTTGGGAATGGACAGTTGGGACAGTTGGGATGGGTGCAATGTATGATGATTTGGAGAGTTAGTCAAAGTAAAAAGTTGAGAATACAATGTAAAAGAAAGGAAGAAATCTATCTCTAAAAGTTCTAAGCAAGCAGAGTAATGAATGTTTCATTTTACACAATTAGCATTTTCTAAGCTTCGCAAAGATAGCGGAGTCAGGATAACCAAGTTCAGTTACATAAAAAAGAAACATCTGACCTTGACAGGCAGTTTCCTATGTCAAGGTCTTACCATCAATTTTGTTTATAGATTATTGCTTTTCACACATTGTACAATAAACATACACCTATAAGCACATACAGTTTATACACACCCATACATATATACACATTTATATTAGGGATACTTAATGTTATATTACACATGATAATACTAATAGTGTGATAAACTATTAAGTATAGTAAAGCCATAAGTCTATGATATATAAGTACTATATAGCACATTTGTTAAAGAAGACTGGGGTCCTAAAATTTTTTAAAATTATGTTTTCTACAGTTCTTAAATCCTCTCAAGCACAGTATTCAAAACTATTATAGATAACTTGAGACAACATCCTGTGCATTTGCACAGAAGCATCATAATATAATTCTATCACTGACTTTCCCCGAATCAGAAAAGAAAAATCAGAATTTAAAAATGCCATGAAATAACAGGACAATCATCTTAGTGACAAATGGTGGACCTCCAAACAGCTGCCTGCCCTCCTTCCATATGAATACACTAAAGAACCCATCTGAAATTATTTCTTGGTATTAAGAAAATACAAGCAATGTTCAAATATCAAGAGCTTTTAAGAAAAAGAGAGAATTGCTTATTCCATGATCCATTTCAATGCTTGATACATTTTATTGACACATCATTTAAAAAGGTATAATTGGATGTGAGATAATTTTATCAGAATGCAATGGTATGTTTAACCAAGATCCCCCTGTGACAATCATCTAGTAAATAAGTAACGTGGATTCATCCATTGAGAAATACAACACCCTACACCTCAACCAATGGGTTGGTGCCCAAGTAGCTAACACAAAAATCAGATCACTCGTACTATGGCCCATTCAGAAAATTACCAAAATAACTACTACAACCCTCATGAACATGAAATGAGGACTTGAGTATACAGTTGCTAAAAGGGTCTGTGGCTTGTTGTAACTACGAATTTAAATATTTGGAAGCCCTCTGTAGTGACACCCTACATCCCCGAATCTCCTATATCAGGGGTCAAAAAAATTTCACATAAAGGGCAGATAGTAAATATTTTCAGCTTTGTGGGCCATTCAGTCTCAGTTGATCACAACTATTCAAGTCATAGAAAATATGTAAATGAATGTGCATGATTGTGTTCTAATAAACTTTATTTACAAAGCACAGGGCTGGCTGGATTTGGCCCATCGGCCATACTTGGTTAACCACTGCCTATATTTTCCTGACTAATTGAAATGAAATTTCTTCTTTAATATGCACTTTCACAAAAGAAGAATAAAAGGAAAAAAGAAGCAAAACTCAATAATGTAAATTTGATTCATTTGGGGCAAGTGGGTACCTTATTAATTATTTTTATATTATTTTATTGAGGGGATCATAGAAACATGATTTCAAGTGGACTCTAGTTTCTAGGAGTTAGCCACATGCTGAAATTGGGATTAAATGTAACATTCATTAATCTTGAGTTTGGTGGGAAGTATTTCCTTCTATTCTTTTTTTTTTTTTTACTTTAAGTTCTGGGATACATGTGCAGAATGTGCAGGTTTTTTACATAGGTGTACATGTGCCATGGTGGTTTGCTGCACCTATTAACCCTTCATCTAGGTTTTAAGCCCCACATGCATTAGGTATTTGCACTAATGCTTTCCCTCCCCTTGCCCCCAACCCCCGACAGGCCCTGGTGTGTGATGTTCCCCTCCCTGTGTTCATGAGTTCTCATTATTCAACTCCCACTTATGAGTGAGAACATTTGGTGTTTGGTTTTCTGTTTCTGTGTTAGTTTGCTGAGAATGATGGCTTCTAGCTTCATCCGTGTCCCTGCAAAGGACATAAACTCATTCTTTTTTATGGCTACATTTCTTTATATTCTTAACATTTGCATCCTATTCACAACTTTGGATTTATAACACCAAATTGATTTTCTTATGAGTTAATGGAATGAAAATCATGGTTTCATTGAATGCATTTTATAGAATCAGTGCGCGAAATGACAATTTTTCTTGGATATTTGGTTCTAAAATACTGGTCACCTGCATAGTGAATTCTTCCCTAATATCAGCCTGATACAATATGGGAACACAGATCTCTGATTTTACCTCCCATTGCGATTGTGAACAAACTCTTGCAAGGCTAGAACCACCATTATGCACAATTATGATATGGCATATAATATAAAGGAGCTGCCTCACTTTGCATTTTACACTTGTTTTAAAAGCCCAGTGAAGGCTGACTCACTTCTGGGTCAACAGGTGAGACTGTCACATGCTAGGACTAAGTGGTATCCAGTGTAGAACCGCGGTTCTCAAGCAGGGGTGGTTTTGCCCTCCAGGGGACATTTGGCCATGTTTGCCGAACATTGTCTATGGATACCTTTTTAAAAAATTATTATTACACTTTAAGTTCTAGGGTACATGGATACTTTTGACTATCACAACTAGGGGGATGCTGTTGGCATCTAGTGGGTGGAGGTCAGGAATGCTGCTAAACATGCTACAATGCACAGGACAGCTCTCACAACAAAGCAGTATCTAACCCCAAATGTCAATTGAGAAATGTTGTCCTTAACCACTCTTGAACTTAGTCACCACTGACCCCTGTCCTGGGCCCCAAGCTTCAGAGAGCTCTAGACCTCCTCTAATTATGTGGCTCCCCACGGGGCAAGTAGTCTGTAGGCCAAGAGGACAGGCCCACCCAGAGCCCACATCTGCTCTTGTAGACCACATCGTGGGTACACAGAAGCCCAGAAATCCTGAGCAGGGCTTGTGTGGGCCTCTTCCTGCATCTGTCTTTCCTAGGGAAGACCTCTCTGGTACCCTTATGCCCAAAAAGTTACATGCCAGCTGGGGAGAGGGTATATGTACACAAAGTCCCTCACAGTAGTGGGAACGTTAGGGATGGAGTGGTTCTCAAGCTCCATTTGTAATTTTGGCCGAACCACACAATTGTCTGAAGTGGGCCTGATCAATTTATCCTATGGGGGGATTACAGCCCCAGCTCACTTCCCCGCAGGTTTTGGGAGCCCCCACATGGTGGCCAACAGTCTCTTCAAGTTCCAAATGCCCACGTGCTTCCACACTGATGTGTGTATATGTGTGTATTTTATGGGTGAGAACAGGGTTAGCACATCATGTCAGCCCAAATATTGTCTCAATCCCAATTGGATTAATAGCAATCCAGAGTTATCAGATAAGACTCAAGTCTGCAGAAATCCCCAGATATCTAAAAAACACAGGGGATTTTCAGTGCATCTTGGGCCCAACTGATCTGGCTCTGGGCTTCTCCTAAAATAGTTCCGGGGATCCTGTTATGGGTCTAAGTTCCAGGGCAGATATTTGCAGAAAGGAATCCGAAGACCTAGCCATGGGCCCAATTCCCAAGACCGGTGTTCTGTTTGGCCCTGTTCTACATACCACTAAAGAGTCAACACTCTCTATCCCTATGAGAGATGGGCAGTGGGCCACTGTTTATTACTTCTAGTTTACATTCAAGCATGCACTTGCCAGTTATGAACTGGCTAGCCTGCAGGCATGCCTTGCTGAAAGCAACAGAAATGTTCTGAAAACACGACTTGCAACGAATTGTCAGTGGGATCCTATTTAGGTGCAAGAGGGAAGATCAATATCTCGAATCAACTACTTGTTGAATATCTTGGGCCCCTGTACTAATTTATCTGGTCTAGATTTTTTTATATAATGTTTGTTTAAGCATGGTACAATAGGGTTGCACAAAGGATATTTAAAAAATACATTTTTAAATCCCCTTAGTGAACCTAGATATTTAGTTACTTGAAGAAAAGGGTACTAAATACATACAAACACATACACTTAGACAAATGCCTTTAATTCAGAGGTACCGTCTCTTCTAAAGTAACATTTTCCAGCTGGAAATGCCTTTTGAGACCACCCTGAATTACATTGTAAACTATGAAGTGTGATCAAAATGGTCATTTTTGTTATTACAAAGTAGTCTCTGAGATTGAGAGGAAATCCATTCTGTATTAAAATCATCATTAATCTGCCCAAATGATCTTTTAAAATATAACTCAAATTATGTCCTGCCCTAGACTGTGACCCCTTGTGATCCTATAAGAGGCCAGCCATGGCCTATAGACCAATATCTTTGGCACACCTGCAATCCATGAGCAACATCTGGAAATAAGCCAATCATAGAGAGCTAAATATACTGCATGATTCCACTTATATGAGGTATCTAAAATAGTAAATTCATAGAATCAAAGAGTGGAATGGCTGTTGCCAGGGGCTGGGGCTGGGGGCAGGGGAAATGGGGAGTAACTAATGAATGGGCATAAAGTTTCAGTCAAGCAGGATGAATAAGTTCTAGACGAAATCTGTTGTACAACATTGTATCTAGAGTCAACAGTAATGTATTGCACACTTAGAAATTTATTAAGAGGGTAGTTCTTGTTAAATATTCTTAGCCCATGAATAAGTTCTGGAAATCTGCTGGACAATATTGTGCCTATAGATAACAACACTGTATTGTACACTGAGAGATGTAGAGATGTGGATCTTGTGTTAACTGTTCTTACCCCAATTAAAAAAATGTTTTAAGCTCAAAAAATTAAAATAAAAATTCTATTCTTTGCAGGCAATATGGTCTCTGTTATAGCTGCTCAATTCTGCTATTGCTCTGAAAACAGCCACAGATAATATGTAAATAGATGGGTATGGCAAACAAATCTTTGCTCACACACACACAGAGAAAGGTGAGTGTGGGATTTAGCCAGTGAACTATAATTTGCCAACCCCTGGCCTATGGGATAGAGGGTCCTCAGGTGGGATCCTTCATCTTATTTTCCCATGACATTCTATGCTGGACTATAGCCACAACAGTCTTCATGCAATGCCAACCATGCCCATCTCTTTCACCAGAGTGTGTGTGTAATCTTGCTGATAGAGTCAATATAACATCATGTGGCAGGAAGTGAAAACAGGAAAAGTTAATAAGAAAAGTAAAGAAAAATAATTAGCAAGGAAGAAAGTATTTTAACTTGCCGAAGTGATCCCAAACTCAAAACGTTTAAAAACATCTTTTAAATATTCCCCCCATCCTCCAACTCTTTTTCCTACTATTAATTCAGAAATCAGACATTCTTTCCAGTAAAGCCTTCTTTTGGGTTTTACTTCATTGAACACCTTCCTAAAACTTCAGTTCTCAAATATCATGGAAAAGCTTATTCTGAGTTATATGCTGCTGCTATCACAGAAAAAAAAAAGAGAGAGAGAGACTAAAAAGTAAAACAAGAAGAACATTTAATGGAAAATGAAGGGAGGCTGTGGACTTTCTGCTGCTGATGTTATCTTTGCGATATATCTGAAGCCCTTCAATGTGTCTAAGTTTCACCTCTGACCTCTCAAGAAAAAAGGCGATTTCAGTTCCTCCCTTGTCTTTATCCTTCCATTCACACAGACAAA
The DNA here is from genome assembly GCF_000001405.40 of Homo sapiens. Taxonomy (NCBI): domain Eukaryota; kingdom Metazoa; phylum Chordata; class Mammalia; order Primates; family Hominidae; genus Homo; species Homo sapiens. The sequence goes on from NC_000020.11 coordinate 8,983,706, forward strand.
CCAAAAATATATTTTAGACAACTTGTATTTTTAGTTCACTTGAAGGTACTAATTCACATTGAATAAGAAGTCATATTTCAGTTTCTACAGTTCTATTAGAATTAGGAAGAACGAGAATGAGGTAATTGGGTGAATTATTCATGTATGTGACCACAGAGTCACTTTCATACTTGCACTAGCTCCATAAATAAGTGTCACACATCAAAAATGTTAAATTGTTGTGAATTGCTTTACTATTTTTCATTTAAATAAATAATTATCAATGTTATCTTCCTGTTGGAAAGTCACCTCAGCAGTATAAGAAAGGGTCAAAAAGATTAGTAATAATACCTGGAGCTAATTACAACTCTATGATTTCCCTTTTGATAATACTATCTCATGTTAAATTACACATTCTACAAACTTATGTTATACAGTGTCTTCCCATAGTTTCAGTTCAAAATGAATAATAGTGCTCCCTGAGCAACGACTGTGAACAGCAGTTTCGATCCCTCCTTTGATCTGGAACACTGCACAGATTATCGAGAGGGTTTCTATTTCTCTGAATCAGGCAGACACTTTGATAATTCAGTTCCCGATGTTAGTACCAACAATTGCAACAAATACTGAGGCATTCAATGTAGAGCCTTGAGTTAGCAATACAGTTTTAAAACAAAGCAGAAACTTTCTGAAATTAGCCATAATTATAATGCACTGATTATAATGTAATTAAGATAGTATAACAGGCTGAGGAGCAAGGTAGACATATTTTTGAATGTTCATACATCACCTATGTCTGAAAAAGCACATGGGAAACAATTTGGAGCTCAATATTATTCAAAGGCAGGAATGAATGCATGCTTGAGTCTCTCTAATCCCATCATACTAGACTTACACACAACAATTACAGAACAAATAAGGAAATTCCACACTTCGAGGCTTATAGAATAAATATAACTTATCTGTTGTCTTCAATAGCAGTAATTCCTGGTTCCGGGTCCATTAACCTGTAGGAGTCCAGAGATTAAGCACCTCTGACAGCTCTTTGTCTTGCTTATCCATTTTGGTCTCATGTTGTCTTTCATTTTGTTCTGAAAATCAAAATTCTTAAGGGGAAACTTCTGTAGATTGTTCCTCAATGACATTACAACAATTGAGCTTTGGTTCAACTGGAATATGCTCAACGGCAAAGCTGAGGGAACCGCACTGCTATATATAAACGTAGCTTACCTTCTGTGCTTTGGATATTGGAACATATTTTTTAATGAGTAATATCCTTTTTCTTCATTATAACTGGGATTTTAGTTCTAAGGGGAAATCACATAAAAAGTAGGTTACCATATATCGTTGTTCGTGCATACTATATAAAATCAACAATCTTATTCAATCTTATTCTCTAAATATGCAATCAAAATTTTTAAATTTTAGTCTTCAAAAATCAGTTTCTTGATACAATTTTAATTTTATGTATTACCATACGTTTTGTTTTTAGGTGTGTCTTTTTTTTTTTTTTTTTGAGACAGACTCTTGCTCTGTTGCCCAGGCTGGAGTGCAGCAGGGCAATCTCGGCTCACTGCAAGCTCCGCCTCCTGGGTTCACGCCATCCTCCTGCCTCAGCCTCCCGAGTAGCTGGGACTACAGGCGCCCACCACCACGCCCGTCTAATTTTTTGTGTTTTTAGTAGAGATGGGGTTTCACCGTGTTAGCCAGGATGGTCTTGATCTCCTGACCTCGTGATCAGCCCACCTCGGCCTCCCAAAGTGCTGGGATTACAGGCGTGAGCCACCGCACCCGACCATGTCTTCTTAACATAGGTTGTTAAATTAATTAATCTGCCAAAGTGTTAAAATCTATGTGGTCTGCATTTCAAAATCGACAATTGATTCCTAATTGTATGACTGACCCTAATTGTATCAGGGAGTGTCTCAAAGCCCTAAATTCATTTATTTCCTCTTAATTTAAATATATATACATATATTTATATGTATATACACACATACATACATGAAGCACAGAGTACTTTGAAGACAGAGGGATGTTTGTAAAATTCAAGCCACAAACTGACACAATCTAAAGAAACTACAATCATGTCTATAGATATGAAGTACAGTCATCTCTTGGCATCCACAAGGGATTGGTACCAAAATTCTCAAATGCTCAAGTCCCTTATATAAAATGGCATAGAATTTGCATATAGCCTACGCACATCCTCCCATATACTTTACATCATCTCTAGATTACTTATAATATCTAATACAATGTAAATGCTATATAAATAGTTATTAAACTGTATTTTTTGAATTTATCTTAGTTTGATTGACTTTTTTCTCCCAAACATTTTCCATCCACAGTTGGTTGAATCTGAGGATACAGAACCCGTAAATACGAGGGCCAACTGTATACCCAGTCTCAGATTTGCTATTTTAAAACTTCTTTTTACAAGTGTCAGATTATATAAACACTTGGCCTGTATTCTTCAAAAATATCAATGTCATGAAAGACCAAAAAAGGACAGGTTGATGAAATTGTCCAGATTAAAGCAGACTAAAAGGATTAAAAAATTAAATAAGAGACCTGAGAACTGTGATGAAGGTGGGAGTGAGAAAAGAAAAAAAAAATGTTTTTTTTTTTTTGAGACACAGTTTTGCTCTGTCACCCAGGCTGGAGTGCAGAGGCACAATCTCGGTTCACTGCAACTTCCGCTTCCTGGGTTCAAGCAATCTTCCCACCTCAGCCTCCCAAGTAGCTAGGATTACAAACATGCACCACCATACCCGGCTAATTTTTGTATTTTTAGTAGAAATGGGGTTTCACCATGTTGGCCAGGCTGGTCTCAAACTCCTGACCTCAAGTGATCCACCCACCTGGGCTTCCCAAAGTGTTGGGATTACAGGTGTGAGCCGTTGCATCTGGCAAAAATTTTTTTAATTAAATAAAATGCCTACTCCTGTAGTGGATACTGGATGGGGAAGAATATTGCTATGAAAGACATTATTGAAGAAATTAGCAAAATTTGGATATGTATTCTGGATAAGACCATTGCAACCATGTTAAATTTCCTGATTTTGATCATTGTACTGTAGTTATATTTAAAAATATACATTTGTCTGTGTAGATGCACGCAAAAGGTGACGTCATGGCTTACTCTCAAATGATTCAGCAAATACATGTGTACATGTCTGTGTGTATGTGTATACACATATATATACACATGTGAAGGACAGACACAGATAAGGGGAAATACAGAGAGAGACAGAGGGGGAGAAAATGGGCCAAAAAGAACAATTGGTGAATCTAGGTGAAGGATAAAAGAGCATTCATTGTGCTATTCCTAGGACATTGAATTTTTCAAAATAAAAAAAGGATTTTAAATGTCAGTACAATTGATAGCTAATTCTGATGCTAGAACAATGTTATCAAGATGTTTTCACATATATCTATGTTTAAATATAAACTATTATTTTCATGTTTATAATGAATGTGATGCATTTTTCCAGTCAAAAGACATGGTCCGCAATGCAAAGTCAGGGCCCACATCTTGGTGTTATGCACAGAAACACAGAGATTAGCACTGTAACTTCCACTTACAGAATATCCAATAGTTGCTTGTTAAGGCCGTGTAGTTTTAGGGAACATTGTTAAGGACATGAAAGATTTTTTTAATCACTGTGACTGATTCCCCAGTTGAGAACAGGAAATTACATAAAATATGGAGAAGTTTTCCTTCTTCCCACTTCAGCTACCAGATGGCAGAAGAGAAGCAGATAGTCTTTAGGGAATGTTAGCAGCCCCAGAGAAAAAAAACCAAAGACACTGTCAATGGAAGTTACCCAAGACACAGCCATAATATCCACCAGCTTCCCCTCCACATTGGTTGAGCATCGCCATCTTGCTGGAAGGCTGAATGGCTTCCCAAGGCTCTAGATAAATCTCCAAGACAGAGAGCTGAAAAATAGAAATTTCTCCAGATGCAATGCTGCCAGCAAGGGGGCTGAGCTCACACAAACTATCCACAGCAGCTGCAGCTGAAATCAGGTGAGCCAAGAGATTGTGATTGGGAAACCAAAAGTGTCCACAGGCTGCTTTCAGGAGGAGACTTCTGCCAATACTTCACTGCTCCCTGCCCACCTCTACTCATTTGCTCCCCCATCTCCCAAAAAGGAGGAAGATTCATTGATCCAATTGGGGAAATAGTGATCTTTATTGGTTCCTGTTTCACTAGTGGGCTAAGTTGCCGCATCTCAAAAGCAGATACCTCATCAATATTTTGTCTCTTTAACCACTCAAACTCAGGCACAGCTGGCCCTCTTACCTACTTTTTCACTTCGTAGATTTCTGACTGCATGTGGCAGGGACACTTGGCAAGGTCTACCTGAAGAGACTTTCCAAACTTTCTCTCTGTTCTGCCAAAGTGTAAGGTTAACCAGGTAGATCTGTACCACAGACAAAGATGTCTTTAATTTAGTGGGAGGGAGCAGAATCTGAGATCTTTGGTTTTAATGGGCGGACAAAGGACAAAGGAGGGTGACAGGTCACCAGAATAAGACCTATTCAAAGAGCAGGTGTTTAACTTAACAGATGTGGAACAGGAAATACGTTTGTTTAGTTGTTTTTGCTTTTTTTAAGTTCAAAGGATACGGAAATAATGACAAAGAAACAAGGGACTATTAATATTTATCAAGCAGATTTGAAAAACAATCACACAGATGTTTTAAAGGTGAAAAATATAACAGGTAAGTGAGAAATCCAGTGGATTAAATAGTAGATTAGACACTGCTGAAGGATAAGATAGATATCAAGAAATTATCAAAAGATCAACCCATAGAGCAAACAATGGAAATTACGAGAGAGAAGTTAACAGATGTGGATGGTAGAGTGAAAAGTTCCAGCATATATCTATTCAGTGTCAGAAGGAGAAAAGCAAGTGAATGGAGGAGTGGTAATATATGGGAGATAATGGCTATCATTTTCCAGAATTGGGTAAGTTTCATAAAGTGCAATAAAATGTTAGCAGCATAAATAAAGAGAAATCTGCACCTAAACATAATTTAGTAACCAAAAAAGAGAAGGTCTTAAAAGCAGCTGGGGAGAAAAGATATATTGCATAAAAAGTAGTAAAACTTAGACTGATAGCTTATTTCTTCTAAAAACAATGGAAGACAGAAACAAGTGGAATGATATGTTCAAAGAGAAAATACAGGCACACCTTGGATATATTGCATGTCAACTTCCAGACCACTTCAATAAAGCAAGTCGTACACATTTTTTGGTTTCTTAGTGTATATAAAAGTTATTCTGAGTTATTCACTTAATAGACTACACTATTTTATAGTCTATTAAGTATGTAATAGCATTATGTCTAAAAATATGTATATACCTTAATTTAAAAAAAATGCTTGATTGCTAAAAATTGCTAATAATCATCTAAGTCTTCAGCAAGTTGTAATATTCTTGCTAGTGGAAGTTCTCACTTCAATGTTGATGGCTGCAAACTGATCAGGGCGGTGGTTGCTGAAGGTTGGAGTGGCTGTGGCAATTGAAAAAAATAAGACAACAATTAAGTTTGCCACATTGATGGACTCTTTCTTTTGTGAAAGATATCTCTGTAGCATTTGGTGCTTTTTGATAGTGTTTTACCCATAGCAGAACTTCTTTGGAAATTGGGGTCAATCCTCTCAAACCTGCCGCTGCTTTATCAACTAACCTTATGAAATATTCTAAATCTTTTATTGTGATTTCAACAACGTTCACAGCATCTTCACCAGGAGCAGATTCCATCTTAAGAAGCCACTTTATTTGCTCATCCAGAAGAAGCAACTCCTCATCCGTTCATGTTTTCTCATGAGATTGCAGCAATTCAGTCACATCTTCAAGATCCACTTCTAATCCTAGTTCTCTTGCTATTTCTACGACATCTGCATTGACTTCCTCCACTAAAACCTTGAATCCCTCAAAATCATTCATGAGGGTTGAAAGTAACTCCTTCCAAACTCTTGTTAATGTTGATATTTTCACCTCCTTCCATGAATCGTGACTGTTCTTAATGGCATACAGAATGGTAAATTCTTTCCAGAAGGTTTTCAATTTACTTTGCCCATATCCATCAGAAGTATCACTATTTATAACAGTTATAGCCTCATGAAATGTATTTCTTAAATAACAAGACATGAAAGTCGAAATGACTCCTTGATCCATGGGCTACAAAATGCATACTGTGTTAACAGGCATGAAAACAACATTACTCTCCTTACACATCTCCATCAGAGCTCTTGCGTGACTAGGCACATTGTGAAAGAAATCCTTTTTTCTGAGAAGTAATACTCAACAGTGGACTTAAAATGTTTAGTAAACCACACTGAAAACAGATTTGCCATCATCCAGGCTTTGTTTTTTTTAGTTCACAGAGCACAGGCAGAGTAGATTAAGTATAACTCTTAAGGGCCCTAGGATTTTCAGAATGGTCAATTAGCATTGGCTTCAACTTAAAGTCGCCAGCTGCATTCGCCTCTAACAAGAGTCAGCCTGTCTTTTGAGGCTCTGAAGTCAGGCCTTGACTTCTCTCTAGCTGTGAAAGTCCTAGATGGCTTTCATCCAATACAAGGATGTTTTGTCTACATTGAAAGCCTGTCGGCCCAACATAGTGGCTTGTGTCTGTAATAGCACTTTGGGAGGCTGAGGCAGGAGGATTGCTTGAGACGAGGCCTCATCTCTACCAAACAATTTTTTTGTTGTTGTTTGAAATTAGCTGGGTGCAATGGCACACCGGTAGTGCTAGCTACTTAGGGAGGCTGGGGTGGGAGGATTCCTTGGCCCCAGGAGTTCAAGGCTACTGTGAGCTATGATTGTGTCACTTCACTCCAGCCTGGGTGACTGAGCAAGACCCTATCTCTAAAAAGAGAGGAGACGAGAGGCGAGGCGAGGAGAGGAGAGGAAAGGAAAGGAAAAGAGAAGGAAGGAAGGAAGAAAGGAAGGAGAAAGGAAGGAAAGGAAGAAAGGAAAAAAGAAAAGAAAAGAAAATTCTTATGGATAACTTGCAGCAGCCTCCCTCTCCATCAGCATTTGCTTGCTTCACCTTGCACTTTTATGTTATGGAGATGGTTTCTTTCCTTAAACCTCAGGAACCAAACTCTGCCAGTTTCAAATTTTTCTTCTGTAGCTTCATCACCTCTTTTGGTCTTCCTAGAATTGAAGAAAATCAGAGACTTGCTCTGGATTAGGCTTTGGCTCAAGAGAATGTTGTAGCTGATTTGGTCTTCTATCCAGACCACTCAAAGTTTCTCCACATCAGCAATAATGCTGCTCTTTTGCTTTCTTCTCATTTGTGTGTTCACTGGATTAGCAGTTTTAATTTCCTTCAAGAACTTTTCCTTTACCCTTACAATTTGGCTGTTTGGTGCAAGAGGCCTAGTTTTAGGCCTATCTTTGCTTTCAACATGCATTTCTCACTAAGCCTAATCATTTCTAGCTTTTGGTTTAATGTAAGGGATATGCAGCTCTTCCTTTCAGCTGAACACTTAGAGACCATTGTAGGATCATTAATTGGCCTATTTTCAGTATTGTTGTGCCTTGGGGAATAGAGAGGCCCTGGGGAGAGGGAGCGAGATGAGGGAATGGCTGGTCTGTGGAGCAGTTAGAATACACACATTTATCAATTAACTTCACTGTCTTTTATGGGCATGGGTCTTGGTGCCCCCAAATGATTCCAATGGTAACATCAAAGATTGCTGATCACAGATAACCATAACAAATGTGATAATTTTAAAATTTGAAATATTGCGAGGATTACCGAATGTGACACAGAGATATGAAGTGATCGCATGCTGTTGGAAAAATAGCACTGACGCATTTGCTTGACCAGGGTTGCCACAAATCTACAATTTGTAAAAAAACACAATATCTGCAAAGCTCAATAAAATGAAGTGAAATAAAATGATGTATGTCTATATTTTTCAAGCCCGAATTCTATACTCAGTAAAAATATCTTTTGAGAGCAAATGTTAAATATAGACATTTTCAGACAAATAAAAACTGAGAAAGCATAAACTGGGTGGTGTTTGTTTAAATAATATAGGAGAGAGCTATATAGTGAAACTGAAATAACCCTATTAATTATATAAACATATATATTATATGCACTCTTATGTCATACTTTGTGAGAGGGAAAAAATAGTGAATCAGTTTACTGGCAACAATTTTATTCTAAAAGGTCATCTAAGGAATGTGTTTAGGCAGCAAGAATGCCCACTTTCCCCACTGTTATTCAACATAGTACAAGAAGACCTAGCTACAGCAATCAGACAAGAGAAAGAAGTAAAGGACATTCACATTGGAAAGGAAGAAGTCCAATTATCTTTGTTTGCAGATGATATGATCTTATATTTGGAAAAACCCAAAGACTCTACCAAAAAACTATGAGAATTGAAAAACAAATTCAGTAAAGTTGCAGGATCAAAAATCAATATCCAAAATCGGAAGCATTTCTATATGCCAACAGTGAACAATCTGAAAAAGAAATCAAGAAAGTAATCTCATTTATAATAGCACAAATAAAATTAAATTGAAATTTTAAAAATGGAAAGATATTCTGTGTTCATGAATTAGAAGAATCAGTATAGTTAATATGTCCATACCACCCAAAGCAATCTACAGATTCAATGCAATCCCTGTCAAAATACCAATGATATTCTTTGCAGAAACAGAAAAAATAATTCTAAAATTTATATGGAACCACAAAAGACCCAGGATAGCAAAAGCTATCCTGAGCAAAAAAATAAAGCTGGAAAAATCACATTACCTGTCTTTAAATATACTACAGAGTTATAATAACCAAAACAGCATGATACTGGCATACAAACAGATACACAGAACAATGGAACATAATATAGAACCTAGAAAAAAATCCACACACCTGCAGTGGACTCATTTTCAACAAAGGTACCGAGAACATATACACTGGGGAAAAGACAGTCTCTTCAATAAATGGTACTAAGAAAACTGGATATTCATATGCAGAAGAATGAAACTAGACCCCTATGTCTCACCATATACAAAAATAAAATCAAAATAGATTAAAGACTTAAATCTAAGACCTGAAACTATGATACTATTACAAGAAAACACTGGAGAAACTCAGAATATTGGTCTGGGCAAAAAAGTGATTCCAGAAACATAGATATGAGATGCAAGAAGGGATTTTGAGCAAGAAAAATGGATGAAATATGCAAAGGGCCAAGCAAATATTCACAGTGTAAACAGTAGAAAAATACAAAATTCAAGATAGAGCAACAAAATATATAACTTGGGGAATAAGTCAACTTAAAGTAGTTTCAAATATTTTATTATTGTGCAGGAGCAGATAAACACATTGATACTCATTTTGAACTCTTCAGCTAAATAGTGATATTAATATTTCCAGGATATTTGCTTAAAAAATGGAATTTTCTAAAGAATAGACACTATTAGTAGAGAGAAAAAGTTAGAATGAGGTGAAAATTCATTAAAAACAAAGTAGGAAAAGAAAACAAAAAATGTTTTTTAAAATAGGTCAAATAGAAAGTGAGAACTAAAATAGCAGAAATTAATTGAGATACACCAGTAATCAAAATAAATATAAATGAAGTCTCTAGATAACAAATAAATAAATAAATATAAATGAAGTCTCTAGATAACAAATAAATAAATATAAATGAAGTCTCTAGATAACAAAAAATAAATAAATATAAATGAAGTCTCTAGATAACAAATAAATAAGTATAAATGAAGTTTCTAGATAAAAAAGATTGTTAGGCTAAACTTATTTTAAAATACTACAAATTTTTTCAATCAAATATTCAAATTGGTCACATCTGAGTTTGCCTTTATACAAATAAAAGAAATATGGAATCAGCAATCTTAGATGGAAAACAGTGGTAGAGCCAGATCTTGCAAATTATTTAATTTGTTTTTTCTTTTGAGAAATTGAGTAAATTTGAAGCTAGAAAGCCCATTTGAAACAATTTTTTCAATCTCAATGTTTTTGTTCTATGTAGTGCAGCTTCTGTGAAACTCAGATGTTAAAATAGCTCCAAGTTGACTGGCTTGAGATAAACATGTTACTGGGGCTCCTACTGACCCAAGGCCCCCCTACAAGTGGTCCCCCGTCTCTTCATTCCACACAAATAGTCATTTACCCAGTGAGTGTGTGTAGTAAATAATCTTAATATTATTAATTGTTTGGCCTCATTCCTGAGATGCCTGGGTTACCCACACTCTGTTGGCTTATTGGACTGACATTTTCTTTCTTTCTGTTTTTTTTTCTTCTTCTTCTTTTTTGAGACAAGTTCTCTGTCACACACACTGGAGTGCAGTGGCATGATCATAGCTCACTGCATCCTCGAAGGCTGGGGCTCAAGCAACCCTCCACGCCCGGCTAATTTAAACAAAATTGTTTTTGTAGAGATAGGATCTCACTATGTTGCCCAGACTAGTCTTGAACTCCTGACCTCAAGCAATCCTCCCATTTCAGCCTCCTGAGCAGCTAGGATGATAGGCACCAGCCACCATGCCTGGCTAATTTGAACTGACATTCTCTTAACGAAAATACCACAATGAGGTTTGTGGCCATGTCAGAGCAGAAGCTTAGATGTGACAATAAGAAGTAAACAGTCTACTTCCCCTCACCCTCCACTCTACCCCCATGACTATCCTGCATCTAGCCACATCCCCTAATATGTATGTGGCTCAGGGTGACCAGGAAGAAAATAATTCCAGACTAAAACTTCATAAATGAGACATATGCAAATATTTGAGAGTCTTTTAGAGGGGAAGAAGGGAGACCATTGGTGCGGAGGGCAACAGTTCTGCAGAAATTGACCTAAATTGGGCTAAACCTGGCCTTGCTGAGGGATCCTATGCCTGGTAACTTGATCTTTAATCCTTTCAGGCTAATAACCTTAAATACCTCAAAATGAGCTGAGGTTATTTTGTTCCAGGTACTATACCTGCTAAATAGTCTCCAGAAAAGACAGGTGGGATGGTGAAGTGCGGAATGCAGGAGTGTATAAAAATGCTTTGTGGAAGAGGAAGGGTAGACTTCTCACTGCTGCTACAATCCTCTCTTTTTGGGGATCAGTGTAGCAGCTGATTATCCCGGTAGCTATTTGGAGAATTTAGAATTCTGCCCTTCAGGTTAGGAGCATGCTTCAGGGCTCTCCTGCCTTGCATCACTATCTTCATGGATTTCCATATTATTTGTCTTTAAAGAAATGTTTCATCTTCTAACTGAGCTTCTTGGCTGTCCATTAATTATACCACCATTCCATCATGATACCAAATAGGGATCTTGAGATGAAGGTTTCCTGAATTGAGGAAGAATCTGAGACCATAGCCTACACTCAACAGAGCCTGCATATTGAAAATGGCAGTGGGTCTGAGTTTAGTGGTTATGCCTGCAGATTCTGTGAGAGGGAAATTTGGAAAAATAGGAGTTTCCCTGTGCTTGTTTCCTCATCCATAAAATGGGCATCATAATCTCTTACTACCAGACTAAACATATTAATTCACTATAAAGCATGATAACCAGTAAGAATTCATTATAGTGTTCCCTAATAATAGTTACTTTTATTATTGTGATGTCATAATTATTGTTATTATTATCACATTAATGTGTACTTGAACCAATGTCCCCAGGTCATTCCTATATACACACGGAAGGAAAGGGTTATATGATAAAACAGAAGGAGCTATATTAATTGATGCCCAAACATCTCTGCTGCAGAACTTATTTTCAGAAGATATGAAGTTTAGAGGGAGAAAGTTTTTCTTGACTGGCCAAACAGAGATACAAACATTGGAGATTTAGGGGCACGTGGAATAAGGAAAGACCAAAGCCCCCAAGGAGAAGAAATAATTAGAGGTCAAGGGCAGATCAGCATCATCTCAGTGGCTCAAGCTGAGCACTGATTAAATTAATTGGAGTTAGGGTTAAGGTAGCAAGCTCTGGCAAAGCTGGCAATGTCACTTTGAGCAGAAAATCAGAGTATCAGCCAATGGCACACATGTTATATAAAGCCATCCTTGTCTCGTTTGGAAATTCCCATAGAGAGTGAGCTGCTGGTCTAGCAGACTATTGAAGTCCTGTTACCTAATAAGTGGGAATACTTAGATGGAATACGTATTTTATAAATAGATTCCTGATTACATTAAAGAATAGAAAATAATTTTCTGGCCAGTACTGATAAGAGCCCCTTCATTCTCCATTGCAATTATCAGGATAAACCAGAGTGTTTTGTTCATTATGATCAAGGCATGAGCTGCAAATATTGCACTTAAAAAGCATTTGCTCTTATCTCAAAAAGAGCAAGTGGTCTGTCGCTATTCTTACTAGCTCCCAATTTGTAGAAGGTCAGGTTCATAGACTCCCCAGGGATACATTTGAGATATTTTGTGCGTTCTGGATGATATTGTTAACTGGATGACTGAGTTCACTGTAATAGCTCTGACTTTTATTGTTGGGGACTGAAAACTTCAGGCTTCTTTGCTGCAGCTACTTCAAATCCTCATCTTTTCTGATAATTTAATAGAAGTTGTGAGGGAAGGCAAAGCATGGAATGGTTAGCCAAGTGGGAGTCCTATTGAGGTTTTTAATGGTCTCAGGCAATTGGAACCATCTCTGGTCCCAGAGGAGGCTCCTTCCCCTGTAGTAGTGATTACTTACTCCTTAGAAATACTTAATGCCCTGGGGTTAAAGGTTTTGAAAACTACTGCAAAGGTCACTTTAGCCACAGTGCTTCTACAGGGCAATGAGACTAACCTGGTTATGCATCATACTTAATCGAGGCAGTATATGCATGAGCAGTTTCTCAAAATATCATCCCCAGTCAGCAGGAGCTACATCACCTGAGTGCTTGTCAGAAATGCACATTCTTGGGCTTTACCCCAGACCTACTCAATCAGAATCTCTGAAGATGGGGTCCAGCAGTCTGTTTTTAAAAGAACTCCAGAAAATTCTGATGCACACTAAAGTTTGAAGAAATCTGGTTTACAGAGACCAACAAGTCTTGACTGTTTTATCAGAACTGACCTGACAAGTCAGCTAGACCAAAATCATGTTGGCATATCAAAAAGTCCTGAACTATGGAAAAATTTACCAACTGTAAAGTAAGTTTCTCAAAGGGCCTAACTCTCTTCTATAAACTGGTGTCCCAGGCTAGAGGAAGCACTCTAGGCCATTAGCAAAAATAAATAAATAAAAAATAATACACCAACTCCAACATTCAGGAATTCTGATGCAATTGGTGTAGTGTGCTGCCTAAGCCTCAAGCATTATCCCCAGTTGATTTCAATATGCCACTGTGGTTGGCTGATTGCCAAAACTGACCACACGTTATACCCCTTCTAGCATCCATATTCTTTGCAAGGTGCGTTTGTCATTTCTCCTGTTAAGAGAAATCTGTTTTTCCACTCTCTTGAAGGTAATGTTGGCCACATGACTTGCTTTAGCCAATGGGACAGTAGCAAACATAATATAAGCAGAAACATGGTGCTATATGTTGGATGTTTGCCCCCTCCAAATCTCATGTTGAAATTTGATCCTGAATGTTGGAGGTGGAGCCCAGTGGGAGGTATTTGGGTCATGGGAGCAGATTCCTCATGAATAGATTAATGCCCTCCCTGGGGGAGGGGATGAGTGAGTTCTCACTCTATTAGTTCCCAAGTTGGTTGTTAAAAAGAGCTTGGTACCTCCCTTCTCTCTGGCTTTCCTTCTTGCCATGTGATTTTCACACATGCTGGCTCTGCTTTGCCTTCCACCATGAGTGAAAGTTTCCTGAGGCCCTCACCAGAAGTAAATGCTGGTGCCATGCTCCTTGTATAGCCTGCAGAACTCTGAGTCAAATAACCCTCTTTTTAAAATAAATTTCCCAGCCTCAGATATTTCTTTATAGCAACACTAAATTGACTAAAACACTTGGAAGGTACTTATACATTGGAGCTTGCTCATTTATTGCTTTTGGAGCCTGAAACTGCTATATGAAAAGCTTGGAGGTTGAGAGACTATGCAGAAAAGACCCCAGTTAGCCCATCTGTCACAACTCCAAACATCACAAATGCAGACAGCTCCAACTCACTTGCCGACAACAAATGCATGAGCAAGCCCAACCAAGATAAGCCAAATGTGAAACAAGAACTGAACCACCATATTATGAGCTAAATAAATAGTGGTTGTTTTAAGCCACTAAATTTGGGGGATGTCATTAAGCAATCATGGACAGGTGGAAGTTAATGTTTGCTGTCAATGAATGGTAAAAGGAGCTGAAAGGAGAATCATCAAGTCAAGGTCGTTCCAAACACCCCTCTCTTTAGGATTGCTTGGTTCAGCCCACGAGGCCACTCTGAGCCTTCACATCCCCTCCTTTCAGGCAAGAATACCCGATAACCAGTAGATTCCATGAATCTCCTGATTCACTCAGCCATCACTAACGGCAAAAGGAGAACTGGATCATAAAAGCCTAAAGAATTTGGAGAGCTTCAAGGAAGATATAACACAGATTTGAGTCCAAAATATATTTTTACAGGAGAATACTGAATGGAATATTTATTGTTAAGCATCTGAGACAGCTTTGTTTCTGGATTATCCCCAGCAGGGATTACAGAAAGCTTATGAGATTTGTATATTAAATCATCACAAAAATTTTTTCAGTATGTATAAGGAGATGTATTTCTTAATAGAAGGGAAACCAGTAGGAAATAATAATTAAACATGATCCTTCACTCATGATGTATGGTGGTTCCAATATCCTTCTGCCACTCAAGGTACGATAAGGAGGATGATATTTTCACTAGGGGGTAGGTTTGATTTGACTCACCTCTTGTCCTTGGTTATGTCTCATCTCTCCATCCTCATTGGGCTTTAGTCCCTCCCCTCTTCTAACTCTATTATCTTATTGCTATCTTTTCTAGCCGGGCCTCTATCTAGTTCCCTTAACCCTTTACCTAACCTATTCCTTCTTTTACAATGTTTTAAATTTTTATTATCTTAAAAGACAGGGTCAGCTGGGCATGGTCGCTCACGCCTGTAATCCCAGCACTTTGGGATGCCGAGGCGGGCAGATCATTTGAGGTCTGGAGTTCTAGACCAGCCAGGCCAACATGGTGAAACCCCATCTCTACTAAAAATACAAAAATTAGCCAGGCATAGTGGTGGGTGCCTGTAATCCCAGCTACTCGGGAGCTGAGGCAGGAGAATCGCTTAAACCTGGGAGGCAGAGGTTGCAATGAGCTGCACTCCAGCCTGAGTGACAGAGCGAGACTCTGTATCAAATAAATAAATAAATAAAAGACAGGGTCCTGATCTATCACTCAGGCTGGAGTGCAGTAGCATGATTATTATAGCTCACTGCAACCTCAAATTCCTGGCCTCAAGGGGTCCTCCTGCCTCAGCTTTCCTAGTAGCTAAAACTACAGGGACATGCCACCACACCCAGCTAACTTTTAAAAATTTTTTGTAGAGACTGGGTCTTGCTATGTTGCCCAGGCTGGTCTCAAACTCCTGGCCTCAAGCAATCCTCCTGCTTTGGCCTCCCAAAATTACAGACATGAGCCACTGCACCCAGCTCTAATTTACTCCTTCTTATTTCCAGATTTTATCTTGAATTTAACTCTTCCAAAAGGCCCAGTCTAGACTAAGTTACTGGTCTGTTTTCCATATTCATTCTTCCTGTATGTACTTTTATCATAACGCTGTCACCTATATTGAGGTGACTGTAGACATTGGGTAGCTTCAGAGTAGAATTAATATCTTATCCATTGTTGCATGTTTTCTATTAGAAAAATTTTTGTCTACACGTGACAAAAACCTGGCTAACACAGCCTTAACAAAGAAGGTTTATTCTCTGCCTGCTCAAAGTAAAAAGCAATCTGGAGGTAGGCAGTTGGTGGCTGTGATTCATACAGTTTAAATTGCAAATAGGAATTCTAGCCCTTTCTGCCTTGCTGCTTCAACATCCTGAGGTCATGACTGATTTTATTTCATCTTTATTATTATTAATAAACTCGTAGGTACAAGATGGCTACTATGCTTCTGGGTACTATGCTTACAATTAAGTCAGGAAATGGAAACACCAGCCAGGTTTACCCGTTTTTTCATGAAAGCAAAAGTTATTCCGGAAGTTGCACAGCAGAGGTCTGTTTAGGTTTCATAATTTAAAATGTGTCTTATGGACTTCCATTACCACAAGAGAGTCTAGAGTAGCAAGTAAAAGCAGAATATTTATGTGTGCTGCGTGTGTTACAGTAAGTAGCTAGTCAGACATGAGCAGAGCAGGAGAGGGCTCCCTGTACACACACACACACACACACACACACACACACCCCGAGAATGTCAGGCGACCATTGGGTGATGGTCAGGTGGTTGTTAACTGTCTCTCTAAAGTAATAATTTGCCATAGCCAGCACCAGGGAAAGGCAGTTTCTCAATAAACATAAACACCTGAAACTGGTGATCAGAAGCTTCCTAAGAAGATCTCAGGAGCTGGGCGAATGGGTTCATGCATGTGCATTAAGAGACAAAATGGTAGAGTTTAACTGGTATATGACCTTCTAGGAATATCTGACTGGTAAGGGAAGAATACCTCAAGCGAGCATGCGTACAGCTCCAGTAAACACACTGCGGATGCTCCCCTCCCAAGGGCTTGCAGGCCACTGCACATGTACACAGCCTACCCCACGGAAGAATCAGGGGAGAAGGACCACAAGACTCCGGAAACATGCCAACATATAAAACTTCAAATCAAAAGGTCAAACCAAGGACTTGATCTCTCAGGTCACTCTCTTGGCCCTCTTGCAAGTGTACTTTACTTCCTTTCATTCCTGCTCTAAAGCTTTTTAATAAACTTTACATTGAACTTTAGACAACTCTTGGTCTAAAACTTGCCTCAGTCTCTCCTTCTGCCTTATACCTCCTCAGTCAAATTCTTTCTTCTGAGGAGGCAAGAATTGAAGTTGCTGCAGACCTGTATGGATTCGCTGCCAATAACACATGTATATTTGTTGAATAACTATATGAAGAAATTGCATTGCAGATAAGGGAAGATAATACCGAACTTCTCCCTTTAAGAGTCCTTGACTCTCACATCATGAACGCTACAGGATAGCAATATTAGGCAGAAGATTGTCACACCTGACTCAGTGGTGGCAACTTTAATAAAATCCAAGGATTCATGCATTAAACTTTTTGCAGGACATTGGGTGAGCCATGTAGGTGGTATAAATTATGGAATCCAGCCATTCCACAGTCTAATGGAGAGGCTATGTATAGAGGTTGAACTGGAAAAGGTTATTTCAACTTTAGAAAAATTTCTTCTAAGGAAAATTCATGTGGGAATTTAAGGAAGTTAATGTCTAGCACCCATTTTTTAACCCATCCAAATTTGGAACCAACAAGGAGGTGGATGCAGACATCAATCAGAATTCAAAGTATAACTTTTATGTCTCAAAAATGCTAAATGCAGGAAAGTGCTTTCTATCTGCTCTCCAATATGGCTTCCTGAGTGGAATTTGTGTATGAATTACAGGTTCTTGGGAAAACACCAGTTGCCCCATGGGGGCCTGTTCCTGAAAAACTTACATAATGAAAGGGATGAGAATGTGAATGATCTTTGCTAGCAGGCTGGTACCACAGAGCAAATTGACACCAGCTTGGAATTGAGCTTCTTCTGAACTCACCTATCAATTGAGTCTTTTCTCCTGTCCTTCAGAGGACTGGGTAAGGGAATGGAAAAAGACCAGAAGTGTTACCCTTTAGAAATCTCTTTAATGGAAACATGAAATCAGGGAAGGGAGACTCCATCCCCAGCAGACAATATGAAAATGCCTTCTTACCTCCTTCTCTAGGTACACTGATAAATTGTTTTCTTAGCACCTGCTGCTAAACTAGAGAGGTTTAAGAGACTTGTATCTTAAGAGATGCCATGGCAACAAGGATAAAGAACCTGTGGCAGATGGGACATGTTTATCCAGAGACAGTGTTTGCTAGTGGCACCTTACAAAGAGTAAATAATGATGATGATGATGATGACAATATTAGTAACAATTCTACTCTGGAAGTTACTCCAGAAGTGAAGAGAGACGGGTTTTATTTTGAGTGAAAAATGGAAAATAGAAACCAGAAGCATTAAAGGATATAAATTAAGATTAAAAAATAAACAATGTGAGAGGGATATGATGAAGAAATTATTAGCCATGACAATTTGGTGTTAGCCTCTGTTTAGAACAGTGTTCGTCAAATTGTTCTTTATTACTGACCCCGTAAAGAGACTTTTTAGATGTTTTCATACTAATCTCCTCCCCACTCCACCCAATTGATAAAACCCTAACACCACGATATCCCGTGTATCTGTTTATGTTACTCTGGTCCTTTGATGGGCCAAAGGCCACTGTAACATCTAAAATCCTGCCCCCCACCCACAACACCACACACACACCAAAAACCAATTTTATTTCCTTTGGAAGCAATATTGCCCCTGTTGATTGAGAATGCATGGCTTAAGACAGTAACAAATACTTTATATTCTGTGTCCATTTCTTCAGGCCTTTTGGATTCCTTCAATTCCTCATAAAGAGACCTAAAACTCATGACCCAGGAAGAAACTAAAAATTGTTTTCATAAAATGACCAGGTATTTTTAAAACATTTCACTGCTTGAATTAACATTTTAGCAGCCAGGTAAGGTTTTATGTCTCATAATAGCCCATTCACACACCCTGCCCTAGCAACCAATACTTCTTCATATTATCACCATACAAAACTACACAGTCCATCAGTCAATCAGGCAAGCAGTCTAGCAACTTTTAAAAATCAGTTTAGAGGGTTTTTAAAAGGTAGATTCCAAACTTATCATCCTTTAAAACCAACAGTGCAATTGGTAGAAACTATGGTGGTTTGTCTATGTCAAATCTGTGACACAGGCCCCTAAAATAAGGCATTGTATCAGTTAGCTACTGCTGCATAACAACACATCCCAAAACTCAATACCTTAAAGTAATAAAAACTTACTATTGCTCACATGTCTCCAGGTCAGCTGCATATACTTGTGGTCTTGACTGGGCTCATTCATGCCTCCATATTGTATTTTGAAGAAGCAGCTCTGCAGTTCTTGGCTAGTCTCTCTCATATGTTTGGAGGTTAGCTGGCTAAAGGCCAGTCTAGGAAGCCTCTAGATGTTATAATTGGGCTCCCCTCCATGTGATCTCTCTTCTTCCAGAAAGCTAGCCTGGCCTTGGTAGCATGCAGGTATCAGGGGTCCAAAGAGAGAGTAGACACTACACTAGGTAAACTAAGTAGCTTTTATGATTGTTAGATAAATTAGTAAATCACAAGTAAAATAAACAAACACACAGCACTGATGCCCATAAGTACTGATTTCCTTATGAAAAAGAGAAACCGAGTGGCATAATGGAAAGGGAATTAAAGTAAGGGCCAGAGGCTGGATTTCTTATTCTAACTTTCCTAGGATGTAACTTTAGACGAATAACTCATGCTCTTTCATTCTCCATTTCCCCACCTGTAAAGTGTTATGCCTTTTCTTCCCATCTCCAAAGCTTGTTCTGATGAGCAAATAAGATATATATATATATTTTTTTTTTTTTTTTTTGAGACGGAGTCTCACTCTACCACCCAGGTTGGAGTGCAGTGGGGCGATCTCAGCTCACTGCAACCTCCGCCTCCTGGGTTCTAGCAATTCTCCTGCCTCAGCCTTTTGAGTAGCTGGGACAACCATGCCCTGTTAATTTTTGTATTTTTAGTAGAGATGGGGTTTCTCCACGTTGGCCAGGCTGGTCTTGAACTCCTGACCTCAGGTGACCCACCTGCCTTGGCTTCCCAAAGTGTTGGGATTACAGGCATGAGCCACCGCGCCTGGCCTGAGATTTGAAATGGTGAAGTTCCATATAAACGTGACTTATTGTCCCTTCCCCCATGTGTTTGCAATCTCTGAACCATTCCTTTTACTAATTGCTATAATTAATAAGCAGAAATTTTCTGTGTTACTTGAGTAAAAGGATTGGAGAAACTGTTCTTCAAGAAAAATGAGGATACTTAGCTTTAATGTTTGGCTATGTTGGTAAAAAGCCAAATGACTTTGGGAAACCCCTATGACCTTGGGAAACCCATATGACTTTGAGAAAGCCTGTGACGCTTGACCCTTAAATTCTTTGAAGGGAAAATCACAGTCCCAGATTTTATTATTTCTGAGGTTTCTTCCATCACTCAGATTCTAAATGAACCGAGCTTTTATTGCAACAAGTTAAAATCTACGTTTATGTTAGTAGAGTTAAAAAGCAAAGGAGATAGAACTAACTGACCCAGGCATTCTGGTGGATTAGAAGGAATAAGAGAATATTCTTAATTACAGTGAACCTTTGGAAATGAGAGGAAAGAGAGAGGAACAGAAAGGGAAACAAGATTTGGAGAGGACAATAAGGAGGAAGAGTACTGAAGAGCTAGAATGAGAGGAATAGGCTTAGATTACGGCATTATCCACAGGTCTTAAACTAAAGTTCTATCAGCTGGAACCCAGAAGGGTGTTGAAAAACCAGCACAGGACTTTTACAAAGTGGAATGTTTTTAGTTGGGGCAAACATATTCCATTTGGCCATAGCTCCCAACACTCAACCCAAATCATACCTTCGTGTTACCTGCTTGCTTCCTTTTAGGAATCTGATTTTGCAATCTCTGGTTGTTACTGAGCAGTAATTAAAACACAGCTCCCCACCCCAGCAGCTCCAGTTATATACTGGATGGAAAAATTACCCTATGTCTCTATTGTCTCTAAACTGTAAGCAGTAACATCTAATTTAGGGGGTTTGTGGGAATAAAGGGGATTAGCAAGTCTAAAGAGCCTAGCAAAGTGGCTGGCTCATAGGAGATACTCACTCAATCTTCATTCTTTTTTCCTTTCCTTCCCTTCCTTCCTTCCTTCCTTCCTTCCTTCCTTCCTTCCTTCCTTCCTTCCTTCCTCTCTCTCTCTGTCTCTCGCTCTCTTTCTTTATTTTTGAGACAGAATCTCCCTCTGTTGCCTAGGCTGGAGTACAGTGGCCGGATCTCTGCTCACTGCAAACTCCGCCTCACAGGTTCAATTGATTCTCTTGTCTCAGCCTCCCAAGTAGCTGGGATTACAGTCATGTGCCACCAGGCCTGGCTAATTTTTGTATTTTTAGTAGAGACAGGTTTTCACCATGTTGGCCAGGCTGCTCTCGAACTCCTGACCTCAATTGATCCACCCACCTCAGCCTCACAAAGTGTTGGGATTACAGGTGTGAGCCAGGGCACCCGGCCTTCATTCCTTTTTTCTATCTGTCTCTCTTGTTTCTCTCTCTTCCATTCATTTCTCTTCTGCCTATTTTCTTCATTTGTCTGTCCTTTTTCTTTCTCCCAGTCTTTCTCCTCTCTTCTCTCCTGCCTCTGATGCAGGGGCTCACACCTCAGGGACCTCTGAGCTCAGCTCCTACTCCTCAGAAAGGGAAGTACTTCCTCCAAGATTAGAATCAGCTCCTGCTCCATTCCTACTTTTAGGAGAATTTTACTGCAAGATTCATGCCACAGTGACAAGAGGAGAATGAGGGTGTCTCAGAATACCTTCGATTGGATGGCTTATAAACAACAGAAGTTTATTTTTCACAGTTCTGCAGGCTGGGAAGGAAGCTCTCTGGGCCCGTTTCACAAGGGCAATAATCCCGTTCATGAGAACTGCACCTTCATGACCCAATCACCCGCTAAAGGCTGCACCTCTTAATAGCATCACCTTAGAGGCTAGGGTTTTCAACATATGAATTTTGGAGAGATGAATATTCAGACAATTGCAGAGGAGGCTTCCTTTTCTGAACTTGGGGCTTCTAGAATCAGTTTCATATCCCTGGACGAAAGTTTTATCAGAAAATCAGGATTCCAAATACCAAAAGTAGAGAACAAAAAGTGATTTGGAAAAAAAAAAAAAAAAAAAAAAAAAAAAAAAAAAAAAAAAAAAAAGGCCAACAGCTGCAGCTACTTACCTCCCATATCAAACGAAGTTAT